>NC_000010.11:80143095-80294610 GCF_000001405.40 Homo sapiens | reverse complement strand
GTTAGCCTAAGGGATGCTCATCTTTCTTCTTTCTGTTTTTTTTTTTTTTTTTTTGAGATGGAGTCTCACTCTGTTGCTCAGGCTGGAGTGCAGTGGTGTGATCTCGGATCACCGCAACCTCCGCCTCCCCAGTTCAAGTGATTCTCCTGCCTCAGCCTCCCGAGTAGCGGGGATTATAGGTGCCCGCCACCATGCCTGGCTAATTTTTGTATTTTTAGTGGAGACGAGATTTTACCCTGTTGGCCAGGCTAGTCTCAAACTCCTGACCTCAGGTAATCAACCCGCCTTGGCCTCCCAAAGTGTTGGAATTATAGGTGTGAGCCACTGTGCCCAGCTGGGATGCTCATCTTTCTAGGTATGAATCATCAGGTAGTTTTAAAACTCCTGGTATGTGCAACATGGTGCCAACCCCCAAAGGGTATGTTGGTGTGGGAAGTTGGCCCCAGCTGATGCCTGACTCAAATGTGAGATGATAAGGATGGGTGCAGAGGTGACTATCTGTGAACACAGAAATGGAGGGGAGAATTCCAAGGCACTTTTGAAAAAGAATTAACAGACTATGGAAACTTGGATATGATGATAGACAATCAGGAATTGAAACCGCCTCCCAGGATTTCAAGCCTCTAAAGTCGGGGGACGAAGTGATTCTACTAAGAAAAACAATACAGTTTTGAAAAATGACAATGCACAGCTGGATTTCATTATATTGCATGAACATCTTAGGGTCTGTTCTTCATTAGGTTATTCCTCAATCAAGGCAAGAGTCTTAACTCTTCTCTCTGATTTTGGAGTCTTCCTTCTCAAATCTAACTTGCACTCTACACTGTCAGAATGAAACCCATTTCACTGCTTTTCTAGAGGACTACTTACTGCTTAGAGTGCCTGGCTTCTCAGCCATTACCTCCCTGCCCAGTTATCTGCTCCCACCCTCCCCAGGTGGGGTTGGGGCAATGTTCTTCTGCACTAACTTCACCAGCTGTGGCTGGGGAAGTTTTCCCTTCCAGACCCTCTCTGTCTTCCTGTTGCCTTTCTAAGTTCTGTAATTCCTTTGGGCCCTAGCTTGAGTCCTGCTTTTTGCATTAAGTCTTTCAACATGTCTTTCTTCCTTTTCAGAATAGGAGTTGTATATGGGTGTGTAGGGGTGGAAAGGTGTTATGCTTTCCTTACCCATCATAAGGGTCACAGCTGATGCTCTTATAACAAAAGACGGATTAACAAGGGAAAAGCATAATACATTTATTTTATCAAAGTTCTGTTTGTTATTTTGATATCTAAATGTACAATCTGAATCAATTTCATCTTTCTTTCATAAGTAACTTATTCATGCTCCAGAGTGGCATCTACAGGAAAAGTTTGTGCTTAAATTAATGAGGCAAAAGCAGTATATCCACTTGAAAATATTTCATTATTTAGCCGTTTAAGTCAGAGGAGCTTCTAGCCAAAGTTTAGAAATGTTTGCACTTAGACAACACCTGCACCCCCCACCTCTGCACCTAGGGTCCTCCCTGTGGCCTCCCCATCAGGCATGGCAGTGCAGAGCCAGCAAAGGGTACCATCTGGCAGGGCCTCCCCACCACCCCTGCGGCCCCGTGGTGCTGCCTAGGGTCAGGTGCCCTCGAAGCTCCATCACTAAACTGCTCAGTGGGACTTACAGGCACTGCTTATTGGAAACAGTCTTCCACTGGATGTTTTATATTCAGAGATTCATCGGGGTAAATCTGACTGAAAGAGAGATTTATTTTGAAAGCCAAGTTTCTCCAGAGGCTTGTCAGTGAAGCTTCAGAGTTCAAGGCTGCTGCATGTCAGTGAGATCAACTGTGTGCCTTTGACACATTGGACTTAGGTAATCAGTCCAGTGTGGAGTTTGGGGCTTGGAGTGGCCATTGGGACAATTCAAGCATAAGAGAGATGGGAACAGGCTGTGCGTAAGGGAGGACTTAATTTGTGTTTATGATGGTAAATTAGGGCCATGAAGTCCTTGTAGGTTCAACTCTCAAAGTAATTACATCTTTGCTAAGATCTGCCAATTCTTTCTGAAGGGGGTAGATTGAAACTACAATTTTAACTCTTGGTTGAATTGCTACTTCTTTTATCAGGTAAAATTCATTGCAAAAGTGAAATCTTTTGGCTAGTTCTGCACTGCCAGAGCCTTCCATTATTATCTTTTTCAGAAACATACTGATGAATAAGGACCTTCACTGCAGCATTATAGTGATGTGAAATAACTGGAGAAGTTGAAAATATTTAACCACTGAGGAATGAATGGTTTAATAATTTATGGTACATCCTTATTGTGGGATACTATTCAAGTATTAAAAAATAAGGCCTGCTGGGTGCAGTGGTTCACGCCTGTAATCCCAGCACTTTGGGAAGCTGAGGCAGGCGGATCACGAGGTCAGGAGTTCGAGACCAGCCTGACCAACATGGTGAAACCCTGTCTCTACTAAAAATACAAAAATTAGCTGAGTGTGGTGGCGTGCACCTCTAATCCCAGCTACTCAGGAGGCCGAGGCAGGAGAATCACTTGAACCCGGGAGGCGGAGGTTGCAGTGAGCTGAGATCATGCCATTGCACTCCAGCCTGGGTGACAGAGTGAGACTTCATCCCCCCCCAATAAAAAAACATAAGGCCTATCTGTATTTAGAGATGTGAACAGAGGGCCACGATATATTGTGGGGGGAAAAAAGCGAGATGCAAAATTATATGTGTATATGTGTATATTCACATATACATACATATGTATACATACCATAATCTATTTTTGTTCAGAGGAAAATCATATGTATGTAAATAGACTGCTTAATAATATTAGCTGATATTTATTAAATTTGTATTGTGTGCTAGCACTTTGTCCAATACTCATCATACCTAAATGACCTCATTTAGTTCTCAAAATAACACTAGGAGGTAGGTAATTATTTAACCCGCTTTACAGCAGAAGAAACAACAGATTAGAAAGGTTAGGAAGCCTTCTCCATGCTGCATGGGAGGTTACAGGCAAAAGTTGGACCCTAGTCCAGAAGCCTGCACTTCCATCCACCATGCTCCGTGTACTGCTTCTTAACATTTACTTGCTAGAAGAATATAAGGCATCCTAGTATTTAGTTGGGGTCTTAAATGAAACTCATACTTGAGATGAGTTTTTAACGAGGTGCCTCTCAGATCCCTCCCTCACACCCTCAATTGGCATCCAGGCTGCCAAAGCCCCCTGCACACATATCTGTGTAACAGATCGTCTCCCCACCCTGACGCCTTCCACCCCATGGTGCTGTTACTTATGGAATTCAGAAGGCAGCTACTGCTTTGTTTTCTGTCTTCCTGATAACTCTAGGAACCTTGAAGAGTACCTGCTACTTACACATCATCTTGTTCTTAAATCAAATTTGGACCATAATTGTTATCATACAATTTTAACTGCTAAGGTCACCTAGTTCTACAGTTCAAATTAAACATTAGCTCATATTGCCTCTAGGTTTAAAACTAATGTACCCAGAAGAAATTTACTAAGGGCCAGCAATGTTGAAATAGCTTAAGTGCAAACAGAGGAGTCCTGTGTGCTGGCAATGACAAGGCGATGTTGTCTAAAGTCCCTATTTGATTCCTCGTTTGTCCATCCCTTCCCAGTGGCCTTTTCCTCTCTGAACTTTCAACAGTCTTGTGCCTAAGCACTTCAGTTCACTCCTTGTTAAATGCCGTTGATTGGCTATGCATATGTAACATCCCTTACTTTATTCCAGAAGAGGTCACCTTAATACTGCTTTAATTCCCTGAAGGGATGATGTTTGGTCATCAGTTAGCAAAACTCAAGCTTTGGAGCACCAGAATGTGTGCCAGAAAAAATTTTTCCAAATGCTTGATAATAAACTCAGAGGGGGGTTTGGTCACCAGAATTGTTAGGTGAGGCTATTGCTTCCTAACTTTTGCTTCCCACAGTCCAAGCTTTGATGCACAAGGTTATGGTTGATTACTTTTTATTGCATTCTAGTGGGAACTGGTTTCTCCACCCATCCTCATTTTCTGTGGTCTCAATTCCCCATTGTTCCTTGGGTCTGAGGATGCAGCTGGATCTGAGAGTGTGAGACGCTGTCATTTAGTACATGAACTAAAGATATAATCCTGTTTACTACTTTTTTTGGTCAAAGCAAAAAATAATGCAAGAGTTATGTGAACACGATGTTTATTACATGTATAGAACTGAATATGTAGATGTTTATAATCCGGAAGCTTTGGGAAACTGGACTTTGATAATTTCCCTGTAATGAATCCATTTCTCAAAAGCATTTTTTTCTAAAAAAAACACACACACACACACACACACACACACATTGTTCTCTGTAACCTCCCCAGATAGATACTTTTTAAAGATCTTGCTTGTTAAAATGCCTGCCAGCCTTTTAGAGAAGTTGACAGGTTAGGTGGTTTCTGTTAGCAGAAACACGTGGACTCAAAGCTTTTCCTCTAAAATGAATCTGTTGTGTAACATCACAGCTGGCTCAGAATACAGGTGCGTGCTCCTGCTCTCCCTGAGAAGATAGAATGGGAAGAGACCAATCCAGATGAGACGCAGGGGAGGAGGGGACACCCAACAGCAAAGGCACTGTTGCAATCTTAGCCTAAACCATATCTCTGAGAAAGAGTTTCTTGTTGCCTGCTTGTATCTCTGGGTGATCACAGACCCCTGCTCTCCAAGGTGGGTTGTGAACTCTGGAGCACTACCAAGATTGGCTAAGAGCTGAAGGAGAGTCCCAAAGGAGCTTCAATTCTGCAGAACTATACAGCCTTCTTTACCTTACCTTGACCAGGTGCTTAGAGTTTGGAAAGTCAGGGATAAGAATTGAAATTCCTCCAGGTAAGAAGACCCCCCTCTTAGGAAATGGACTCCTCCAATTTTCTCACATGATTTTTCAGGCACTTTCGCTTTTCCATATATAGGAGTCGCTCAGGAGCAAGCTGTGGCAAGCTGGAGGGAGGGACACATCCCGTGTTCCATCCACTCCCTCCCTTCTCAGCAGTCCTCGCCTGTTCTCACGTGCTCACAGGCAGTTAGGCAGAAGTGATCCCCGTGGCTCTGCCAAAGACAAGCCTGTTGGGTTGAAAGAAGAAGAAGAAGAAGAAAAAAAAACTCAGGCAAAGTCACAGCCTCAAAATTGTTCACTGAAAGAAGCGTGAGTGGAGAAGTGTGAGAAGATGAATGGACCGGTGGATGGCTTGTGTGACCACTCTCTAAGTGAAGGAGTCTTCATGTTCACATCGGAGTCTGTGGGAGAGGGACACCCGGGTAAGTAGGCTGTCTTGGACTGACTGGAAAACGATCATTCCAAGCCTATACTGAGGGAGTCACTTACAAATGGTTTTAATTTGACACATAATAATTGTGCATATTTATGGGGTACCGTGTGTTGTTTTGATCCATGAGTATAACATTTAATGATCAAATTAGGATAATGGGCATACCCATTGCCACAGACATTGACTACTTCTTTGTGGTGAAAACATTCAAAATTCCCTCTTCTAGCCCTTCAGTCACCCTACTGCGCAATGGAATGCCAGAGCTCATTCCTCCTATCTGACTGTAACTTCGTACCTGTAGGAGTCACTTTTACCAGAGCTCTTCAGAGCAATGTGTGTGAGTTACCAGAAGGGATCTCTAGAGAAACAGCATGGAGTAGTTTCATAAAACAGTCCCTCCTGATGAAGCCGTGCTGTGGCCCACCACCAGCACGCCAGCACAGTGGGTCCAAGACAGGGAGTAGCAGCTGGCTGGCTAAGAGTATGACACATGCAAAATATATGATCAGGTCTTAACTTTTTATATGTATTTTTTTTTTAGGAAAGCTTTAATCTATTATCCATGGCCAATTTAAGTCAACAGGGAATGTTCCTGAAACAAGACCATGGGTGACTAAATTTTGCATGTGAAGCATGTGCAACTTAGGCATGAAAGCCTGCACCCTGGTCACTGCTGGGGTAGACCTCTAGGTGCTGGGGACTCAGTAACGTTCTCTAAGAGCAGAATAGAAGACCTTCTAAACAGGAAGAAAATTTAGGCATTGATTTTGGTCCCTGAAAAGTAGGTAGACTGTGATGTGCGGAAGTGAGAGAAGCTTCCTTGATGACGGTGAGAACTAGGACCAGGACATTCAGAGCCTCAAGTGTAGGACAGTGGTTCTCAAACTTCAGGGAGCTTCAGAATCCCCCAGAGGGCTTGTCAAGACAACAGAGGGCTGGGCCCCACCCTCCAGAGTTTCTGATTCAGTAGGTCTTGGGAGAGGCTCGAGAATTTGCATTTTTGACAAGTTCCCAGGAGATGCTGATGCTCTGGGGTGAGAACCACTGCTCTTGGAGACCCCTGGGGGATAGATGTACAGACTTCTATAGTTAAGTCCCTCTTCAAAATTCATTCGAGTGTTTGCTAACTTATTGCCAAGTCTGCCTTTTTCCATCTTCCTTGCTCTTGTTCTTCCTCAAAGATATTTATCTTTCCTACCTTGTAACTTGGCTTTGGACACCTCAGTGCACTACTCCTTCCATATACTTTAGCCAGTGGTTTTTGACTGGTGGCAGTTTTGCCCCACAACCCCCAAGAGCATTTTGTACTGTCTGGAGACATTTGCAGTTATCACAACTATAGGAGGTGGGGGTAAGGTGCTACTGCCATGTATTGAGTAGAGGTCAGGCACACTGCTAAGCATCCTACAGTGCACAGGACAGCCTCTCAAGAATTATCTGGCCCAAAATGTTAATAGTGCAGCTGTTGAAAAACCTTGAATTGAATTGAGTTTTTTATGTGACTTAGCTCAGTTCAATGTAAATAGCCTCTTTCATTGTGCATAACTGTATAAAGTATCTAGGTTTACTGTATTTTCAATCTCAGATACATTGCTGATTTCTGACACATTCTGATCAGCTCCATGGCTATGAGCCTCATGTATAGGTTAGGAGAAAGATTCACTCCACCCGGAGGAAGTGGGTTTTTTGGCATGCAGCGGCTAGTGGTCCCAAGAATGGTCCATTGTGCGCAGCAGCAATGTGCTCAGAGGACTGAGAATGAACGTGCCAGCCAATCAATTGATTGTTTTGTATACTTAATGACAGCCAATCAATTTGTCTAATCGTCCCTTGTACTTGCCATTGTAATTGTCCAGGTAAGTCAGTTTCCATGGAGGCTAGGTGACTTTCTGCTTGTCATTCCATTGCTGAATTCCTCTCTGCTAGAAAGATAAAGGTTTTCTTCTCTGGTTTTCCAAAAAAACAACTATTGGCTATCTTAAGCCTACTAAGTGATATTGATAAAAATTTTGAAAGCCAAAACAAAAACAAAAACAATTCAGAAACAACCTCCTTGGGCATTGTCTTGTGTGTGGTGCTATCTGGAAGCCCCTGCTGGACTCCAGCTTTGTTCCTTCTCCTGTTGGATTTCCCTAGGCAGAGTGGGAGCCTGTGAGCTGTGTCTGCACAGGCAGAGACATTCACAATCAATGATCAGTCAGCAAGCTTCTAGGAACTCTGATGGGTAAGCCTAAGGTGGCCAGCATGTATTTATTTTAGGATATTTTATCAGCGAGAGGCCTTCAGTGGTAGAAGTGTGTAGAGGCTAAGGGCTCAGACAAACCTAAAGGTACTACCAGGGTCTGCCACTGGCAGGAGGCTAGATTAAACAAACAAACAAACAAACAAAACACAACCTCAAACATATGTTTAGCAGTAGTTTCTAAAGGAAAGATTAAGGAATTAATGAATATCTTTAATTACAGAATTTAACATCTGCTTTTGAGAGCCAAACTGCTTGATTCTGGATCTGGATTCTTAACAAAAACATATTACTCTATTAAGAGCAGACTGTGGGTATTTTTAACACTGAATGAGCTATAATATATGTAGATAGAGATCACTTTTATTTCTTAATTTGTAGATATTGACAGTTTGCATAACCCCAAAGCAAGAGTAGATTTTCCTACAAGCACCATTTAGTGCTTTACATTTTAGACCCTGCAGAGTCTTTAAGGCAAATAGTGGAAGAATAAAATCAAATTCCAGCTCATGTTGAACCCTTGTCAGTCCTACAGTAATTGAAGAGGTCAAGCCCAGCTCTAAGGACACCTGGCTTTCGGGAGGCTGAGTGACCATGTGGGAGATCTGAGAGCTGCTTATGGAAGTATTCTGCAAAACAACAATGATGTATAGGGGTTATCTTGTAGAATTCTTATGGGTGGAGTCATGTACTTGGGTGTGGTGTTTTATATACGGTGCATTGCATCTTGTGGAACCTGCCATGCAATGCAGCTGTTTGAGCCGTCTGATTTTACCTCTTGGCAAAGAGGTAAAATTGACTTCTTAACTATTTTTAAGTTCATTTTCAGGACTTTTGTAGATGTTAGAATTAAAGGGAACATGATGAGGAATGAGAGATTTTTTATTTAGAAGAATGCGTGTGTGTTTGTTTATGTGTGAGTTGCGTTAGACTCCTAGAAGAGCTGATTTTGACCGGGCGCAGTGGCTAACACCTGTAATCCCAGCACTTTCAGAGGCTGAGGTGGGCGGATCACTTGAGACCAGGAGTTCAAGACCAGCCTGGCCAACATGGTGAAACGCCATCTCTACTGAAAATACAAAACAAATTAGCCAGGCGTGGTAGCACAAGCCTGTAATCCTAGCTACCTGGGAGGCTGAGGTGGGAGGATTGCTTGAACCCGGGAGGTGGAGATTGCAGTGAACCGAGATCACACCACTGCACTCCAGCCTGGGTGATAGACTGACACTCCATCTCAAAAAAAAAAAAAAGGTATTTCTTTTTTAGGGCATTCTATGACTTTATATAATACGTGTCATCCAAAATTAGGCAGGAATGGAAATAAATAAAAATTTCAAAGTATTTCTAATTTCTTATACTTAAAAAAAGTGTTTTCCCTCTGGTAGATAAGTTGATATGTAAACTGAAAAGTCGATATCTAATTATTTTAAGATTTCAATTTGTTATCCCGAATATTTTTGTGATTCTGACCCATATTTGCTCTTGTCCAGATAAGATCTGTGACCAGATCAGTGATGCAGTGCTGGATGCCCATCTCAAGCAAGACCCCAATGCCAAGGTGGCCTGTGGTAAGAAACACCCGATCCCTCCCTGCTGGAGACCTAAGTGGGCTAGACTGAGAAATTAATCATGGGTATAAGACAAACGAGCCATACTCCTCAGTTCCAAAATCCATGTCCTCTGCTCTGCAGTAGATTTCTCAATTATGAGACCTCCCCTGTGTAGTAACAGGGAGGAAAAACATTTCTAACCATGAAACAAATAGATAATTATTTTTAGCAAGAATCTAACGTTAAATGTCATAGCAACCATAAATAGCAGAGGGTTGGACCAGCACATGGCCTTTCTGATGCTTGATCTCATTGGGAACAAGGAGGTCTTTCAAAGTTCTTAGGTGAATCTTCCAGACGGGATGCAAGAGCTTGAAACACAGGTAGCTGCCTAGATGGTTATAAGCTGCATCCTCATTGTAGGAGCCTTTGTTGGCTGCACAGATACCTGGCTTCTTCTCTTGTTTTCTTTCCTAGTTTGTGGTATGATTTAGGTTTTAAAATAATTAGTGTCCCCCATTTAATAGCAACAGGAAGGCAACATCTTCACCAATTGTTTTTCAATAAATCAATGGCTTTCCTAAGAGACATTAATGTTAAACTAAAGTACTGAAGCCCTGGCTCCCATCTGCATAATTTATTGTGTCTGAAGACTCATGTAGGCTGAAGATCTTCACCTTTATTTGTGGGATAAGTTGTTTGGCAGGAAAACCTTTGCCTGGCTTGAAGCCTGTGGCACAGTGGCAGAGTCATGGACTCTGGAGTCTGGAGGGGCCCCAGGGTGATCAGGTCCAGCCTGTTCATTTTAGAGACAGGATCACGGTACCCTCTGCATCAGGGCCTGGCCAAGGCCATGGGGTAGGGTGCCCCAGTGTGAAGACCAGAGCCTTGCTCTCCTTACTGTCATTGTCATGTCTTGTCCACTGCACAGACCCATCCTTCCCTCTCTGGTTGCATCCTCAGCCCTGTATTGAATACTACAGGGACTCATGCCCCTCTGAAGGTAGATTCTACCCTTATATCTTTGTAAATATCTGGAGAGAAGGTTGGCCTGCTTTGATTTTTTTTGGTCCAGATCCCACTCCCTAAAGCCTGCAGTGGAGGTTTAGCAATGTGGGGGATGGGGGGTCACATGTGTGGACTACCTTCTTTATGACAGCTACATACAACCATCATCTCCCTTTAATCCACATAGCAGTCTTATAAATAGCTTTATTAAATAGATGAGGGAACAGAGACTTAGAGGGGTTAAATAAGTTGTCCAGGATCACAGCTTATGACTGACTCTTTCCAAGACAGCATTGGAAGATGCTCAGTGCTTGGTGCTGGGATTTTTTCTTTTTATTGGCGTTTCTATTTTCCTTCTGGAATCCATTCCTCGTAAGGCCCCTCCTGTGTCTTTTCTGTCTGCACTGTGAGAGGTCTGGGAATGTGAGCTTCCCTTTGCTGGCACTTGGCTGCTAACTCTCCTCGCTCCCCGCTCCCTTTCAGAGACAGTGTGCAAGACCGGCATGGTGCTGCTGTGTGGTGAGATCACCTCAATGGCCATGGTGGACTACCAGCGGGTGGTGAGGGACACCATCAAGCACATCGGCTACGATGACTCAGCCAAGGGTGAGGGCAGGCCTCCGGGTCTGAAATCCCTGTTGCTCTCTGCTGATAGAGACCCCAGTGCTGAGTCAAACCCGTGCCTTTCAGCCCGATGGGAGCATCAATACTACCAGGAGGAAAACACTCCTACACTTGTCTGTCAGGTTCCAGGGGTCAAAGACTCTGGCATAAGGATGGCCAACAGGCGACTATGCCCAGTGGGCCCAGCACATGCCCATCTGTTGTTGATTGGGCTTGTTTTAGGCCTTGCCTTCTTGGCGCTGCCAAAGGCTTTGGAAGAGAAAGATGCACTGAATAAAGGGGGCTGCCCTCCTTTGGGGACATGCTCGCTGCCAGGCACTGGTGATAGTCTCTTGTGTTGTCTTAATCATTTATGTACTTATGCAGACGAGGAAATGGAGGCCTAGAGGGGTAAACAGTCTGTGTGAGATCACAGGGTAAGCAGCCACTAGGCTGAGGACTCCTGTGCTTCCACTAAACCTACTTGCAATCATAGACATGGAGCAAGATGACTCAGTCCAGAACTGGTGCTGACAGCAGGCGAGGCTGGTCCAGGTTAGCACCAGTGCTACATAGTGTGGGGCCACCACCCAGGGAAGGGGCACAGGCCCTAGCAGAACTTTGAAGCAGATTCCAACATCTGAGACTGAGCAGGCCAGGCAGCGGCACAGCCTGGAGGGCAGCAAAGGACCCAGAGAGCAGACACCAGGTGCGGAGGGCCTGTATGCGATCACATTCTGCAGGAGCTTCAGGGGCCCTTTGTCCATGCTGGCTTCCTGGGCAGGGCTCTGGCCCCAATTCTTAGAGTCTCCACGTTGGTCTCTGGCATTAGATGTTCAGGCAATTCTAATTTTTAAAGAAAAATTCATTTTGGGTCTCTGTTAGCTCTTTCCCTAATTCTCTGAAATCACTGTGAGAGATGTGATGACCTCACGCCATGGCAAAAAGACCCACTTCCAGGTCATCCTGCCTAGCTATACACCTGTAATCAAGATGCACAGAGAGAAGCATGACTTTAAAGGTGTTCATTTCTGCCTGTGTCACATAATCGTTGTCTAGGGTGATGTGTAGCATCCTGTGGGTCAGGGTGCTGGACCCCCGTTTGTAAGTGAGAGAGCCCACTCATGGTATGATGGTGCAGACTCGCAGAGGTTCAGTCCAGCCATGGCCTGGTGCAGCCCAAAGCACTCATGAGCAATTAATATTGGTTGAGTGCATGACAGTGATTTTGAGACTCAGTGGGAAGAGAAGCAGTAAGAACCAGTTAATTCTCCTGGTCGGGACATGAGGGTATTCACAGAGGAAACACATTGTCCCAGAGCTGCAGCTTCCTGAGGCGTTACCACACGGAGCCTGTTCTACCAAAAAAAAAGCCAATTTGTTTATGTACATTTAGACCTTATTCAAGTGCAAAACTTTTTCTGCATTAGGCAGGAGGGAAATTTTCCAGGAGGCAATGTTCCCTAGAAAGGGAGAAATGAGCGAGAGCCCAGCCGTGGCTGAGTTGAGCTCAGCTGGCTGAGGTTCCCTGTGCCCAAGCTTGTCCATTTACCTGTGCTCAGTGGACAGGAACAGCCTTAGCAGGGTCTCAGGCCAGTGGCTCCTCGTTGCTCCTGGCTGCGGTGTTGCTGGGCTCATTGTCCTTTCCAAGTCCTGTACCTCCCCTCTTGGTCCCCTAAGTTCTGTTTTTCCAAATTCCTTGGAGCCCTTGCTTGATTTTTGAGCCCTGGGGAGATTCATTATTTAGACAGACAGTGATTAGGTAAACTGAAATGTTCAGTGCAGAACAGGACAGCTTTTGGCAGTTCTTTAAAGACTGTTCATTGATTTGTGCATTCAAAAACATTCATTAGGAAACAGGAGGGTGTAAAGGGCAAAGGTGACCTGATACTCCCAGGGTATATGATGCAACATGAGGTGCCCTGGGGTAAGTTCCTGGCATTGTGTCTAATGAACTGCAGGCAGGTCCAGGGACATGCACTGAGAGTGGACGTGGGGTTTGGGCATGTGGGGTGGGAGCTGGAGGTAGAACGTTCTAGGCAGGGACCTAGTGGAGATGGAAAAGTATATCATGCTGATGGCTAAACTTGAGTTCATGTTGGCTCAAGGAGTCCCAGGAGCAAGGGCTGTGTCAGACTGAAAAGCTTCAGTTTTATTCCTTGGCAGTAGATCCCCACCTGAAGCTTGTACAGAAACAGCAGCTTGGATCTGTGTGTTTTCTCTGTAAGCCCTTTCAGGCTGTGTGGGTAGGAGAATAGATGGGAAGGAAGATGGCTGTGGGGGTTTGGAGAGTGAGTGTGTCACTATGCTTGACCTTGTGGTGGGGGCGTCCATGTATTCAGTCCCTTATTCTCACAGTCCCTGTGACTGAGCCCAGCACAGCTGTGAGGAGGTGCGCACGGTCTCGGTGCATAGCAGTTTCCTCATGGGACTCCCAGGGCTGAGCTACTGCTAGTCCAGACTTCCCCAAACCAGTGCCTCGCGTGCTAGGTGTAGCAGGCCTGCACCCTGTGCCTCAGCTTTGTAGATGGGAAAGGGCAGGTGGCTTTTCCATTTGCCCCAGACTCTGTGTACCTCTCAGGGTCAGAGGACCCTGGCTTGGGGAGTCTGTCTGGATAGTTCATGTACACTGTATTTGTTCAGTATGTTTAATAGTTGTGTCAGGCATACAGCTGGGCTTCTGAGTGACAGTATCAAAAGGGCTCTTGATTTTCTCCTAGTGCAGTGATGCTCAAACTAGATTCTGGGAGGCACCTGTGGGAGAGCCTGAGGGGCAGGGTATGAGTCAGCCACCGTCCTCAGCCAGAGGAGCCTTGGCATCACCTTGTTTTAATCTGCAGGTCTCTGTAGGATGTGTGTGTGTGTGTTAACCAAGGTCTAATTGAGCACAGTAAAATGCACCACGGAGAATTTTGGTTGGCCAAAGAGTTCTACATGATAGGGTGGGAAGGTGCGGGGCCTCTCCCATCCTGGGCCTCAGCTGTGGGCCTAGACAGACCCTGGCTAGTTAGGGAACCCCCACGCTGACACCAAATGGCATGTCAGGAACCGAGCCATCCATTGGGAAGTTTGTGGCCCCCTCCTTCTGACCTGTTCCCCACTTAGGCTCACTTTGCTTCCGCCTAGGCTTTGACTTCAAGACTTGCAACGTGCTGGTGGCTTTGGAGCAGCAATCCCCAGATATTGCCCAGTGCGTCCATCTGGACAGAAATGAGGAGGATGTGGGGGCAGGAGATCAGGTAGCTCGGCACTGCATGTGGGAGCTGTGTGTTGAGCTGGCTGGGAAAGTTCATGAGCAGTGGGTTAATCACACTGAGGGGTGGATTCTTGTCCTAGCACGATAGCCAGGAGCGAGTTGGGAACCCCAGCTTCACGGCCGTGCTGTGGATGGCTGTGGTTGCTGACACTGGGTTTGGGCTTGTCTCCCCCTCCTAGAGTGTTGGGGGTCAGGGATGACGTCCTTCCCCTGCACATGCCAGTGGAAAGCTCCATGGAGGAGGCACCCAATCAACGTGGACACACCAGGGAGATTTCAGGCTTGGAGAGAGCTGCGGTCCTCTTGGTCTAGGGTGGGCGCCGCTCAGCCTGCTCTCTCGCCACAGGGTTTGATGTTCGGCTATGCTACCGACGAGACAGAGGAGTGCATGCCCCTCACCATCATCCTTGCTCACAAGCTCAACGCCCGGATGGCAGACCTCAGGCGCTCCGGCCTCCTCCCCTGGCTGCGGCCTGACTCTAAGACTCAGGTGAGCAGCTGAATTACCCCAGGAGAGCCCTAGACAGAAGCTTTAATACCCCCAAATCCTCTTGATTCTTGATTGTGTCATTTTTAAGATCGAAATATTCAATCTGGGCATTCAAAGAATGGTCAGTTTTGAAAAGAACTATTTATGTGAAAAATCTTCAGCTAGAGATGCTTCCCACAACATTTTATTATAAAAAATTTCAAAAATACAGAGAAATGAAAAGAATAGTTCCGTTTTTTTTGTTTGCTCATTAGTAAACATTGACTAATGAGTCCCCAAATCCTGCCACAAACATACTTAACTGGCTTCCATATTTTCAGGCCTCTTTGTCCTGAACAGGCTGTCTGTGCTGTGTCTGTGCTGTGTCTGTGTTGTCTGTCTGTGCTGTGTCTGCGCTGTCTGTGCTGTGTCTGTGCTGTCTGTCTGTGCTGTCTGTCTCATCATGACCCTTTTTCTCATCTTTGTTTCTCATGAAAAGGCTTTACGTCTGTTGTTTCCAGCTCCAAACCCATGGGCCCTGACCTGTCTTCTCCCTGCAGTGTTGAAATCAACCCAAGGCCTATATTTGAAGGCTGAGGTGATTCAAGTGTTAGTGGAGACGCAGGCCTCCTGGCACCTCACCCCTGTATCCCCTCCCTGCTTAACCCCAATGAGCCCTCTCATGATTCCCAAGTTCCCAGCACTTCATACTGCACAACTTCTCTCCCTGTGTCCATGCTCGTGGACCCCATTGTCACCTTCACATACTCCCACCTGTGGGTTTCTCTGATCACCCTCCAAGCAGATGGGCCCTGAGAGCCTGCCGTGTGCAGCACCCTGCCACCTCCCTCCTGCCCTTCCCCCGTCCTGTTCAGCGCCATCTCTCTCCACCTACCCATGTCCCCAGTTTACCCCATCAAGCACCCCTCTCGCTCCAGCTCAGCCTTCCCCAGGGCTGCCATCATCCCAGCCAGGCCAGGATCAGTGGCCTATCCTTCCAAAGGTACTCCCTGCTTGGAAATTCCAGCTAATCCCCTTTAGGCCTCATTTTTAATTCCCTAACATCTATTCAGTGTTTTCTACAACTTTGGGCTTCCTACAAGGGGAAGGGGGAAATCCACTTATTATTCTGGCATTCACAACCTTTTATGGTCTTCCAACTTTACCTGCCTCTGCCTGCCCCACACCATCTTTGCTTAATCGACATCATTTCACTCATTGTCCCCTTGTTTCTTAGGGCTTTGCTTTACCTGAGCTCCCTCTCTGGTCTTCACCTCTCCTTCAGTGGCCAGCAAAGTTCTACCTCTTTTGGGATGCCATCCCTGGCCACTAGCAGACAGCGCCAGCGCCTTCTCTTGTCCTGCACTTGGAATCTGGCACCCATGGTGTTATAGCTCAGCGTGCTGTGTGTGGCTCCATGTACAACTCCAGTTGTACAGAGATGGAGTTCCTTCTTGTGCAAGTGTCAGACCATGCACAGGGCAGAGGTTGCATACTGGCTGTACTGGGGCAGGGAAGTGTGCTTATGCCCAAAGGGAACCCTTCCTTGGGACTTCCTGTGTTATCCACATGACCCCCCAAGGTGGGGATGGGAACCATCAGCATTCCTTGGGTGTTCTTGGAGGTTGTGAGTTAGGAGAGCTAAAACATGTAGATCGTGATGGCACCCAAAGAAAGGGGCCCATGATGTCGGCCTGCCTGTCCTGTCCTGGACTGGAATGGTGCTGCGATATAGAAGCAGGGTGAAGATTCACAGAAGGGGAAATCTTAGAACAGGGAGGGGAGGTAGCCAGTGGCTCTGACTGTTTTTTCTCTTCCTTGTGCAAGAGAGAGGAACAGAGGGACCACCTACTGGACCTGCTGAAACAGGTTCATTGTGCTTAGATATGAAATAGAAGGTTTCTAGGTTTAGGGGTCAGCAAGGAAGGGAGGGTGGGATGGGCTCTTTTAGGGGTTCCCTTCCTTTGAAGGATTGTCTCGAAAATGCCAATACAGATACCAGAGTCAGCCTCACTTCCCTGCCACAGGCAGGACCGCGGGCCAGCTCCAGTCTCAGGGGGTGCAGACTTGCTGTGGGGCTCCAGGAGGCCCCTCGCCAGCTGGCCTGCGAACAGCCTGGCTTGCTCTAGACACTCCCTCCATGAGAGAGGCCCTGGGCCAGGCACAGCTTGTCTAGGTCCCCTGCTCCGCACCCTGTTTTTGAAGTAGTGTCTTCATCCAGCTGGACTGCTGGCTGTGAGCAGGATGGGTCTTTCCACCTGAACAAATCCCTGCTGCTGATAGTGAGGCCTGGGTGGCAGTGTGGATGGCTATTTTTGTACCTAGTCAGAGCTGTGTTTTCCATGGTGTGTTTTTCCCCACATCTTGCTGACATGATGAGATAAGCGCCGTGTTCAGGGCCCTTTGCTCTGCTGCCCTATTCTGCAGTTCTGCAAGGCCACTGCGTGGAGTCTGCCGGGTGGGGGTGGAGTCACCCAGGGGAGCAGTGGAGACGGCCTGAGCACCCTCCCCAGCTGTGCACCTTCTCCCGAGGCTCCATGCAGACTAGACCCAGTCCTAGAGTCTGCCACAGACAGTGCCTCTTTTCCTGGGAGTCCCCTACCCCAGATTCCAGCCCCTTTCCCAGGGCCGTGTGTGTGCACAGCCTGGCATTTGAGGACTTCTCTCAGCTCACGATGTCTGTGTGCATCGGGCCATCTCATGCAGATCTTACATGGCCAGGACTCTTTCTCCTACTTCTTCTGGACCTTCCTTGTTGCTCCTTAGACCAGGCAGAACACAGAGTAGGAGTTTGATACAGATCCAGGGTTTGATGGATACCTGAGTAGCCTTGGGGAGGTAGAGAGTTTGCTGCAGGCACAGTCCCAGGGAGCCACTGTTTGCTGCCCCGTGGTTCTGTCCAGGCCCTGGGATGGGAGCAGTCCCATACTCACTGGCCAGTGTCCCTCCCAGGGCCATCTGGCAGAGCTGCACCCCTGCGGGCACCACATGTCCCTAAAATCCTCTGAGCCCTGCTCTTGTGGGTCCATGCTGCTTTCGGCAGTATTGGGCCTGTGGCCAGCACAGGGTCTTGAGTGGCATCCAACCTTCTTCTTGGAAGAGCCCTGTCTACCAGCCCATGCAGCTCCAGGTCAGATCCCAGCTCTTCCGACTGTGTGATCTTGACCAAGACATTTACATTTTGGATCCTTGGCTTTCTTATCTGCATCATTGGCAGGAGGAGAGATACCTCCTGGGCTATAGAGGGTCAAGAAAGGGCTTTGGCCAGGGGGACATTTGCTGGCACCTGGAAGCCTCTGAGACAGAAGAGGAGACATGTAGTGGGTCAGAAGTTGAGAGGAAACTCAAGTCTCCAAGCAGTGCTAATTGTGGCCCCATGTGGGAATAGCTGGGCCTTACACCCAGTCCTCCCACAGCACCAGGCAATTTTTTGAACGTAAGAATGTGTCAGATTAACTCCCCCAACACCCTTTGAAGACAGGAGGCCCCACTTGGCTCCTGGGAGCCCTGCCCACCTCCTGGGTGCCTGTGTCTGGCCACGATGTGCCGTTCGCTCAGCCTCAGCCTCACAGTATCTCCCCCACCCTTCTGATGGACAGGTGACAGTTCAGTACATGCAGGACAATGGCGCAGTCATCCCTGTGCGCATCCACACCATCGTCATCTCTGTGCAGCACAACGAAGACATCACGCTGGAGGAGATGCGCAGGGCCCTGAAGGAGCAAGTCATCAGGGCCGTGGTGCCGGCCAAGTACCTGGACGAAGACACCGTCTACCACCTGCAGCCCAGTGGGCGGTTTGTCATCGGAGGTCCCCAGGTGCATTCTTGTCTCTGAACGAAGCCCTGGTTTGTCTTTGTTACTGGGGTTGCTTATGTCTCAGAGCAGGAAAACCTCAAGAGATAGCTTGGAGGGGGTCAGCTGACTCTGGCCATGGACTAAATGTAAAGTCGGTGAATTTTGGCCTCTGTACATTTAGTGCACTCTCTGGGGAGGTCTGCTATGTGTCTGACAGTGTGCAAGAAATGGGGGATATGTCCCTAGGATTCCTCCACTTAGCGCCACTGGGCCCTCCCACTCCTGCCATCTCAAGTGACCATCGACCTTACCCACGGCTGCTGCACCTCACCCTGCTCTGGTGCACATTCCCCACTGCAGCATTTGCACGTGGACAGCTGTTCCCGGGTGGCTGTTTCCAGATCTTCACCACAGGCTGCCTCTGGCTGTTGTGGGCACCAGAGTGGGACAGGGTGTTTTAGACAGGGCACCACTGCCCCCTCTCTTGTACTGCAAGTGTGAGGAGGTGGAGGTTGAGGGCACTGCTGTGAGGCTGCTGCCCACTGCCTGGGCCCTCAGCCGTGTGTGCTTTGCCAGAGTTGAGCTCCATCCCGGGTTCCAGTAGCAAGTAGAGTGTAGAAACACAGAGTAGAAGGAGGTAACACTTATTGTTTTTTCTTGCAGGACTTCTCAAAGCCTAGACATACTAGTATGAACTGTGGATCTCTAAAAGGGGGAGTAGAGCAGGCAGACTTCCCCAAATCATTTAACATAGAACTCCCACCCTTTTAAAGACATCACTATTGACTGGTGTTGCCCAGAGGACACTTGGGAAGTGGGCAGCATGGCATTTGCTAGGTGGCACCAGCCAGGGTTGTATTTATGACAGTGCAGTTCCTGCCTGCAGTTGGATCTCTCCATTGTGATGGACTCAGTAACAAAGGCATTAGGGAGTGGCTGTGACCCCAGAGAACCCCTGGCCCACCTTCTGCACTTGCTAATGAAGCTTTGGCAGGTTACCTGTTTTCAATATGTTGTCAGTGACTGAGCTGGGAGTGGAGTCCAGAGTTCTGGGCTAAGGGGTCTTAGGAAAATGTCTGTGGGCAGCCCCAGGACATCCTTCCTGAGTTGCAGTTCAGCTGCCATCACAGTACTTCAGCCCCCTCCAGCATCTAGGGGCTGGCTCTGCTTCTTATCTTGATTTCTCTCCCTCTGCAGGGGGATGCGGGTGTCACTGGCCGTAAGATTATTGTGGACACCTATGGCGGCTGGGGGGCTCATGGTGGTGGGGCCTTCTCTGGGAAGGACTACACCAAGGTAGACCGCTCAGCTGCATATGCTGCCCGCTGGGTGGCCAAGTCTCTGGTGAAAGCAGGGCTCTGCCGGAGAGTGCTTGTCCAGGTAAGCCCCCTCCACCCACCACCGTCCTGTTGCAGTGGAGGACCCCTGCCCAGTTCTGCCCTGAGTGAGGGGATGTTGGCCCGGTGGGAAAGCTGCATGCTTTGCCAAAGGTTGTGATTGTGTGATTGTGTTGGGCACTGTGGCCAGGGCTCTGAAAACCTAGGGGAGGGAAAACCAGAATCTTCAGGGAGAGAGGCGTGTAGAAGAACTGCCCTCGGTGAAGATAGCAGGAAAATTGCAGGGGAGCATGTGGGGCAAGAGGCATGTGGTCCCCGCTGGTCCCTTCAGAAGAAGGGCAAAGCTTCTGAAAGGGGCAGGGCCCACACAGAGGCTTCAATCCCTGACGCTGCACCTTGCTGGAAGGTTTCCTATGCCATTGGTGTGGCCGAGCCGCTGTCCATTTCCATCTTCACCTACGGAACCTCTCAGAAGACAGAGCGAGAGCTGCTGGATGTGGTGCATAAGAACTTCGACCTCCGGCCGGGCGTCATTGTCAGGTAAAGTGCCATGCGCTGCTATTACACAGGACCTTGCTCCTTCCTTGCCCAGATGCTCACCTCACCTGAAAGGGAGGCAGAAAGGAGGATGTTTCTGCCTCTCAGAAGTGGGAGGGTCTGTGAGCTCTTGGTACAGCACAGTGCATCCCCAGTGCAGAAAGCCTGGTTGTCAGGTTAAAGGAGGCTGCCCCAGGTTCCTGCTGGCCCAGTCAACACCAACTCCAGTGGGGCCATCTCTGAGCAACTGGGAGGCAGGCGGGGATCTTAGGAAAATAATTATTAATATAAGGCCAAATAGCTCAAATGGCTGGGAATCAAGTCAGCAAGTCTATTCCGTTTCTAGAGCTTAGTGGTGTCAACATTGGCCTGGGCCAGGTAAGTGGAGTGGGAGGAGAAAAGCACCGGAAGGCTGGAGTTAGATCCTGGTCCCTGAACCTCTAAGCATCCGTGGGGCTATAAAACGAGACCAGGGTATGGCACAGATAGGATGGGTGCGCGCAACTGCGGTGGGGAGGCGTAGTGCCATGCGAGGAGGGCTGTGTTACAGTTCGTTGCTCCCTCCTGTCCTTGAAATGGAGAAAGAAACCCTGCTCCTGTTCCATCTTCCAATGCCCTTCCTTTCTGCTGGACATGCAGGGATTTGGACTTGAAGAAGCCCATCTACCAGAAGACAGCATGCTACGGCCATTTCGGAAGAAGCGAGTTCCCATGGGAGGTTCCCAGGAAGCTTGTATTTTAGAGCCAGGGGGAGCTGGGCCTGGTCTCACCCTGGAGGCACCTGGTGGCCATGCTCCTCTTCCCCAGACGCCTGGCTGCTGATCGCCTTCCCCACCCACCAACCCTCAGGGCAAAGCCAGGTCCCTCTCATTTAGCCTGTCCTGTCATCATCATGGCCAGCTGGAGGCAGGGGCTTCCTGGTGCTGGAGGTTGGATCTTGATGTAAGGATGGGCATGGTGTTCTCCTGCTGCTCCCTCAGACTGGGGCAATGTTAATTTAGTGGAAAAGGCACCCCCGTCAAGAGTGAATTCCCTCACTCGTCTCCCCCAACAGCTGGACCCTGACCAGCTCCCCCTCCCTCCCCTTGCCTGTGCCAGGTGAGGTCAGCACATCTCAACAGGCCTCAGGGCTCCTTGTGGGCCTGGGCTCCTGGACCCCCCTTTCACAGGCAGCCAGTGCCCTGAGCCAGGGTCTCCAGAAAGCCCCACCCAGGCCAGGCATGTGGCAGGGGTTAGAGCAGGACTGATGTCTCCTAAGCACCTGTAATGTGCGAGGGACCCAGCTAATAACTGATCTCGTTTTTTCTTCACTGCAACATGATGAGGTAGTACCTTTTATATCCCATTTATAGATGGGGGAAAGCAAAGCACAGAGAGTCTGGATAACTTCCACAGGGTCCCACAGCCACGTGTTTAGACCTAGATGTATAACTAGGAGCTTTGACTCAGGAGCCTGTGACATACCCCCTCCCCCACC
The DNA here is from genome assembly GCF_000001405.40 of Homo sapiens. Taxonomy (NCBI): domain Eukaryota; kingdom Metazoa; phylum Chordata; class Mammalia; order Primates; family Hominidae; genus Homo; species Homo sapiens. The sequence continues at coordinate 80,273,045 of NC_000010.11, read as the reverse complement.
GTTGTCTCATGCCAGTAACAGGCTCAAACAATGACAAAGCAGATTCAGAAATGAGGCCATGGACTCTGTCCTGAAGGCCTGAGGTTACTGGAAATTAGGGGATTAACCCACTAGCTCTTGTTGAGCCGTGGGCAATTGTCTGAAAAGTGAAGACAGAACCACAGGGCTATTTTGTTTGCTTCATGTGTCCCAGAAGATGACTGAGGGTGAGTTGGCTTACCTGGCCCATCAGGGTAGGCTGGAGTTAGGGACTGACCAGCAGCTTTAGAATCCCAGCCCCCTGACCACTCAGAGACATGCAGAGATTGGGTTTTTGGACTTCTGGGGTAAGTGGTCTAAGTCCAGTCCAGTCCTATCTGGGCTTCCTGGAGCAGAAGCAGCAACTTGTCCTAGCACAGATGGCCAGCCCCTTAGACAGAGGCCCTCAAGTCTTTCTCTTTCCCTGGTCCCTTGTATCCCCTGCAGGCTGAGTGCATTTGGAGGGAGTGAGTGGCCCTTTCGGATCCAGGGAGGCTGGTCCTATGGCCTCATGTTAAATAGGCGGGGCTTGCCTTCTGGTGTTGGACAAGCTTCTGAGACGTCATGAGGAGATTCTGCCTTTGCCAGGTGACTGTCTGGGGAGCGGGTCTGCTCCCAAGGGGCCTGAGCAGTCCTTGGCCTGCTAAGGTCTTGGAACTTGCCTGCCTTTCCATCCATGGCCAGCAGCACCTGCCCTACCTGCCCCACTTGTCCTTAGCCTGGACCTCTGACAGCAGCATCTCTACCTTCTCCCCAGCTCCCAGGACCACAGGCTCAGGCAGGGGCCTCCATGGGCCCCAGGGGAACACTGGGGACTTGGCCTCTCTCTAGGGTACATGGTGCTGGGAGAGGCAGCCCAGGAAGTCTCATCTGGGGAGCAGGCAGCCAGCATCTGGGCCTTGGCCTGGAGCACAAAGACCCTGGCTTTCATTTTCTCTCAGGTGAAAGGAAATTAAGGCAACAAAAGAAGCCCGGCTCCTGGTCACCTAGGAAGCCTCAGATTCCTTCCCATGGAGGGAGGGAGTGGTTTGCAGGTGGCCAAGTTCCTCTAACTTGGCTCACACTCGACATGAAAATTCAGAATTTTATACTTTCCCTACCCTCTAGAGAAATAAGATCTTTTTTGTCAGTTTGTTTGTATGAAACTAAAGCCTTTATTTGTTAATAGTTCCTGCTAAAACAATGAATAAAAACTCAAGGAGCAACTACCCTATGCTTAGTTATTCTCTGCAAAACCCCAGAGACATGACACCTGCTCTGTATAGCATTCCCTGGTTGCCCACCCCCACCACCGGGGGAAGTTAGTATCCTCCCCTCGGGGTCACCCCATCCTGTCCACGTGGAGCAGATGTCTCATGGACTAGGTTTTTCTTGTTACTAGCAGCTATGTTAAGCCACACCACTGCCATGTTCATTCCTCACCACATCTCACCAAGGTGGATATTCTTAGGAAGCCCATTTTTACATGCGGGGCCCTGAGGCCCCAAAAAGGGTTAGGACCAAAGGCAGTGGCCACCTCTGGCTCCTCCCTGAGTTCTGTGTGCTCTCCTTACGCATTGCTGCCCTTAGGCTGCCTATGCCTTATCTTGTGCCCTTCCTGCATGGTGTCTGCATGAGACTGGCATGAGGGCATGCTCAGGCCATGTCTGGAGTATGGATAAGTGACTGAATTTGAACAAAGTGAAGGAGTGGAGGGGATTGGTCTGTGGAGAGAGGAGCCGAACTTTTAAGTGGATGCACATTTCCCTTCACTCGTGTTCAGTTGTGAAGAGAATAAGCAAATGGTTCTTTTTCATTGAAGGTCATCCCTGCCATGGCCCCCGGTGATGTGGTTCTTGGGGTTTGATCAGAGCAGGAGGAAGATGGGTCCTGCATGGTTTCCGGCAAGCAGGCTGTGTGGACAGGACTCAGCTCTGGGGAATGTCCTGGTGCAGCCTGAGGCAAAGCCTGTGTGGCCCCCGTGTCTCACGGGCAGACAAAGCTGATCTGGGGTGCCAGGAAGACCCAGAATGTGGCGGGGAGGGGAGGGGAGGATGAGGCCAAAGGGCCTCACAGTCCTGTTTGAGACAGAACCTATACCCTGAGAAGACACTAGGTGGGCAATACAATGAAACATGACACATTACAGAGAAAAGCACGTTTCTCAAGAATGCATACAAATAGACACACTTAAGAAACACACTGGAATACTTGCCTGGGGTAGGGGGAGGACTCTAGGTATAACATGCAAAATAATTAGTGAAAGCAAGATAGAGAACCACCTTCTGAGCCACAAAGCCAAGTGTCACAGTGTTAGGGAAATGTGGACGGAGCAAAGGAGGTTGGCAGGGAGCGGCCAGTGGAGTTTGAGGAAACTCAGGAGCACAGAGTCCCTGGAAGTCAGGTGAAGACTGTTTCTAGAGCAGGGGAGCCACCAACTATGCAAAATGGTTTTGATGGGTTACATGATGGGAGGCCCAGGACTGTCCAGTGAATTCAGCCACATGGAGGTTGATGATGTGGGAAATGGCAGAGTCACATTTAAACGTAAATATGACCCCAACCCTCACCTCAATCATCCTCCCCTGGGCCATCTCATGACATTCAGAGTGCGTGCTGGGCTGCACTGCCCTGCATGTCTGTGCAGTGCCTGCCCCCTACCCTCATCCTGGACTCTGCTCCCCACTCCCCACATTCCGGACTCCTTGGCTCTTTGGCTTCCCCCAGCAGGCCAAGCTCGTTCCTGCTCAGGGTCTTTGCACCTGTCGTTCTGTCATGGGTGTGGGGTGCGCTGCAGGTTTCAGATGAAATTTCTGTATTTCCAAAAAACCCCTTCCTTGATAGCCTCTCTTTCTACTCCATTCCATTTCTAGTTTCTTTTTCAGTGTTTAACATGATGTTCCTTGGAGCCTTTCACTTGAATCCTTCCCTACCCATTCACTCTCCCTTCCTTCTTCACATGCGGGTCCTCCAAATCCCTGCAGTCTCAGCTGACAAGCCACCCTCCATGATGCTCCCAATCTCCCAGGAAGATGCTCCCAAGCACCTTCCATAAATCACACCCAATGCTGTCTCCATCTGGTACCGGGCTCTCAAAGGTTGTAGTTCTTTAAATAACTAAATATTTTCATTAATTATTAATAATAATGTTATGGCAATAATTCTATTGCTCACACTCTGAAGATGATGTATCAACCCAAATAAGAAAGCTTTTTTCCCCAGCTTCATTAAGGTATAATTGACAAATAAAAATTGTATGTATTCAAGGTATATAATGTGATTTGCTATATGTATATACTGTGTAATAATTTCCACAATCAAAATTATGAACACATCATCACACACAGTTACTCTCAAAGGTTGGAATTCTTTATGGATGTCAATGCTTGTTTATTTATACCTGTTGCCCCCATAGGACTTGGGGCTTTCCAAGGTCATCTGGCCTTGTCTGCTGTCTCATACTTGCCTTCAATGCAGGGCTTGGCACAGAGTAGGTGCTTGGTGTAGCACGGGTCATATCAGAGAATGAATTTGAGGTGTGTCCATCTGTTCTGCCTCCTGAGCTCTCCTTAGCAAGATATTCTGCAAGATATAAGGATCCTGCTTGCCCTTTGGTAGGTCTTGCCAGGCTCAGCTGCTCAGAGATGTAAATGTCAATCATTCCACAGAGCTGTTTTTTTAAAGCACCTGTTAAGAGCATAGCACTGTGACTATAAGGATTTATACCGTTACAGGTCACAGAGGACTAGAGAGACCAGTATGGGTGAATATAGGAGGGTATTTATTTTAAGGTGTGCACTGGCTCAGTGGATTCACATCCAAAAAGCTGAGCCTTGAACAAAGACTGAGCAGGATTTTTATAGGCAATCTACAGAAGCAAAACAAAGGCAGTTAATCATATAATGACAGGTCACATAATCTATAGCATAACTGATGACTTGGCATAACTTGTGGCCTTGCATAGCTGGTGGCCTTCTAGCTGCATCAAAAGAAAAAACAAGAACTGGCTAAATACAGATATTTGTCCTTTTTTTTTTCTTTTCCTTCACCCTTGCTCCTGAGGTGGGGTGTCTGGAGCCTATTCCTTTGGTTTCAACTTCTCGAACAGCGTTATCTTATAACTGTCCTTGAAGTGAGCTTGCTAGGCAGAGGAAAACTTGTTTGTCTTTTCTTTTTAACCCTTGCCTTGCCACATTCTGGGCCTTGGCTTTTACTTTTCTTGGAGTGAATGAATGCAGTACTTATTATTTTTAAATTTCTGCCTCCATACAATTGATCACTCTGCACTTCAGTTGCTTCAACCCTAGAAGTAACCGTGGCATGCCAATGAGGAAGACATCTCATGTCAGAGGTCCCAGAGAAATGTAATATCCAATGAGGGGCAGACACATAGGAGGTATGAATGGGGCTCAGGAGGTGGGAGCTTGGTCTGAAAAGTATAGGAGGTACTTTGGAGTTGGCAGTGGATGGAGGAATATGGGATGAGAGTTGAGTCTGGGGAAAATAATTAGCTCAGCAGGGGTTAGCTGGGATGAAAGGCATGGGGTGGGAACTTTAGAATAACTTTATGCCTGTGGCAAATTCCCTAGAGTAAGTATGACTCAGGCACAGTGTAAGAGGCAATGTGACAGACATCTGGTCCCTGGCCTATGAGGTCTTCTTCCTTCCTACCATAATGCCTCCATGAGGAACGTTTGGAGAAAGAAGGAACAAGGACTGTGTTCTGAGTTTGGTTCATGTCGGCTCAGATGCAGAACAATGTGGGTAGATAAATAATTCAGTGGGGAGAGGAAATCAACCCAAGGGAACAGGAGAGCTTACAACCTCAACAGTGGAGTCCCTATAATATGGGAGGTTTGTCAGACACTTTCATGTGACTCTTATGGGACAGGATGGAAATCAGAAGCCAAATAATTTGCTGTCTTAGTCTTTTCAGGCTGCTATAACAAAATAACAAACGGGGTGGCCTATAAATAACAGAAATTTGTTTCTCACAGTTCTCGTAGCTGGAAGTTTGAGAGCTGGGTGCCAGCATGGTTGGTTCTGGAGAGGTCCCACTTCTGGGTACAAATGGCCAACTTCTCATTGCATCCTCACACGGCAGAAAGAGGGTGAGAGAGCTGGGGTGTGTGTGATAAGGGCACCAATCCCATTTATGAGGGCCCCGCCTCTGAAAGGTCCCACCTCCTGATATCACATTGGAGGTTAGGATTTCAACATCTGAATTTGGGGGGACACAAACATTGACTCCATAACACTTGCCAAATCTGATTTCTTAAAAATGAAATTCTTGTGCATTAGGAAAAAGCCACAAGTAAGGGTAAAAGATAAGTGACAGAGTAGAAAATATTTGAATGGAGTGAACCGCAGCTCAATAAGAAAGCAATACAAGCCCCAGTAGGAAATGGAAAAAACTAGACGGATAGGAATAAGTAAATATAATCAAAGAAATGGAGAAAGTCAGGAGAAACAAAGGTTGCTCAATTGTACTTGTTTCAAAAAATAAACACTTTAAAAAATGCAACATTGTATTTCGGCAAACAGATGGCGAGAAAAAAAAAAGAAAGGAAAGAAAAGAAATAAATAAAAAGATTTGAAGACAGTGTGGCGATTCCTCAGGGATCTAGAACTAGAAATACCATTTGACCCAGCCATCCCATTACTGGGAATATATCCATAGGATTATAAATCATGCTGCTATAAAGACACATGCACATGTATGTTTATTGCAGCACTATTCACAATAGCAGACTTGGAACCAACCCAAATGTTCAACAACGATAGATTGGATTAAGAAAATGTGGCACATATACACCATGGAATACTATGCAGCCATAAAAAATGATGAGTTCATGTCCTCTGTAGGGACATGGATGAAGCTGGAAACCATCATTCTCAGCAAACTATCACAAGGACAAAAAACCAAACACCTCATGTTCTCACTCATAGGTGGGAATTGAACAATGAGAACACTTGGACACAGGAAGGGGAACATCACACACCGGGGTCTGTTGTGGGGTGGGGGGCGATAGCATTAGGATATATACCTAATGTAAATGACGAGTTAATGGGTGCAACACACCAACATGGCCCATGTATACATATGTAACAAACCTGCACGTTGTGCACGTGTACCCTATAACTTAAAGTATAATAAAAAATTTTAAAAAAAAAAGAAAAAGAAAAAGGTTTTTAAAATCCAGGGCTGGCAAAGATATAAGGAAATAGATATCCCCAAACACAGTTGATCGGTATAACTTGGTACAGACTTTCTGGATGAAAATATGGTTCTTCTTGAAATGTAAATGTCATGTCTGCCTAGTTTGACCTTGCGGTCAGAGGTGGCATCAAGATAGAGACAATCGCTTTGCTCCCAGGCCTAGGGGACAGAACCCCAGGAGGGCAAGGTCAGCGTGTGCTGAATGGACTGGGGGATGGGGTGGGTGGATCTTAGGGAAGCATCCATTCTGGGCCACCAAAGCAGGGCTTCTCTCCTGCCCCAGGGTTGAGGTGGCTGCCTCTGGGGTGTTTGCAGGAGTGCCCACAGAAAGGCCCTGGGACACAAGGCCTGGCTGGGAGGAGCCCCCTCCTTCACAGGCCAAGACTGCAACTGCGGAGCCAGTCACAACAGCCTAAGAGGACAGGAATTCCTTTCCTCGGAGGCTGTCAGAATCCCAAGTGACCAGGAGGAAACAGGCTCTGGCAGGGGAAGACACTTTGGAGGACCACCCACTCAGAGAGCAGATTGTGTCCGTGGGCAGGATGGGAGCTAAGAGTGGGAGCCGGCTGGATCTCCCTCCACTTCCTCGAGATCTGCCCAGGACACTGCCTGGTTCCCGCTGCTCTGGAGGGACTGTTCCCGGGCTGTGAAGTCCTGGGATCCCGCTGTTCCTTTAGTTCTGAACAGTGTATTCTCCAGCAGGAGGGGCAGCCCTGGACTCCCAGGCTCTGTGCAGGCTTCCCAGAAGCCTCTCTGGGAGGAGTGGGGGCCACTGCCTTCCACTTCCCGTGGCAGCCCCTGGCCCTGGCCTCCTCCAGGGCTCTGCAACCCTCTTCAGGCCCCCTGGCATGGTATCCATGCCCTCCTCGGGAGAGTAAGTGGGGTGGGATGAGGTGGAGGCCGCGACCTGTATAGACAACCCAGGGCTGTTCCATCTTCACCCTTGGGCGAAAAGTAGCCCAGCAGCAGCTTCAGGGCCCCACCTCCCAACCCCCACCAGGCCGACCCCACTCCCACTTCCTGGGCTGCCCCGCCCCTCCCAGCAGGCATGGCCAGCTCTCTCCACCTCTAGCACTGAGCTCTACAAAGCAGCTCTGAACTTAGTTCTCTTCTATGTCTTTGGTTTTCTGTTTGATCTCATCTTTAATTGTATATTTCTGCTCCTCTCTTAAAAGAAAGGAAAGAAGCCATTTTTTTTTGTTTTTGGATTTTTGCATCAAAGCCTTCACAGTTTCTAAGACATTTTAATTCGTTTTGATCTCATTTCTGTTTCTCTGCTTTCCTTGTGTTTCTTTTCCATTTTTAACTTTCTGAACTGAATGTTGGTTTTGGTGGCTTTTTGATCCAAAATGGCTTATGGGGGAGTCATAAAATTCCTATGTGGCTGTTTTTCCTCAATTTTTCACTCATTTCTAGTTTCATTGACACGTTATTAATAGAAAATAATCTCTATTATTTGTACTTTCCAAACACATTTTTGAGATTTTCATTGTAGTCCAAAATGATGAATTTTAGTGTTATATGATCACCTGATGTTATCAGTGTATAGATTTGCATTTATTTCAATTTGTTAAATATTTAAAATTATATAATATATACATGTATATTTTTAATTATATATTTCAGGTATTTTGTGGACAGGGATTTTAAGCTTTCCTTAGGGAAGCAACTGACAAGAGAGAACAAGAAAGTGTGAATTCTGAGGAAGGGCAAGGGATGGTTTTGGGCCTCATCACTCACTCACTCACTCACTCACCTGTTCCTTCCTTCCGCGGCATTCCTTCCCTCCTTCCACTGAGAACCAAGCCGCCCCAGGCCCGCCCCGGACCCCTGGGGCCTGCGGTAAGGAGTGCAGTTATTTTGTGTGGACATATGTGCTCCACGCCAGCAGCCGGAGGAAGCCTTCCAGGCAGAGAGAACAGGGAGCGCTCAGGATGGGGAGAGTGCTCTGGGGCCACAGGAGGGGGTTCAGCAGAGGGCAGGGTGGAGGGTGTGATTCTATTGTCGCTGTGCCCCCACGCCTCTCCAGTGATAGTCTGCCCTGTTGCCAGGCACGGGTGTGGTTCTGGGCAGACCGTGGTCAGTGGTCTCAGTGTTTCGGCCCAGCTGGCCATGGTGGCTGCAAGAAGCTCTGCAGCAGCCTGGGAAATGGGGGAGGACCTTCAGCCTCGCGTGAGCTGCTTTATTGGTGAACCCAGCAGACTCCATGGAGCTTGAGGCAGAAGCAGGTGAGCACAAGTTTTGCTCGGCCTGGATCACCCTGGGAGGTGGTGAGGGTGTCATGGTATGCGTGTGGTGAAAGTTCTCTTGTTTTTGACAGACTTGTTTAACCAGGGGATGAAAGACATTCTGTGCAGAGATCAGGGACGTGCCACTGCAGTCCAGCAGTAGTTCAGTGGAATGTAAAACCCTCACCGAGTTTCACCTCGAGACAGAGGAGGTCAAAGCCCAGGAGTGCCTGCTGCCCTGGATGGGTCCAGCTTGTGATCTGGAGTTACAGAAGGTGACTTGAGGCTCTTGAAGAAAAGCTGGAGGGAACTGTTTCTTATTCTCAAAGCCAGATTCTGTGTCTCGAATGGAAACTCATGATCATTGGTGGAGAGCATGGGAGGCTGAAAGAAACCTCATCATCTCCAGACAAGAGGCACAGTCCCGAGGCAAGGAAAACGGACACAGTGATTCCCCGAGTTTCTGGACATGGATCCTCAAGCAGCTGATAACCCAGATGGAGCGTGATTGGGGGCATTTGCCCTCTGACCTCCAGGCGTGGACGCAGCCTCCTCTGACACTCCCCTCCCTTTATACCCCACCTCAGCTGCCAGCCTTTCCTCTGCCCTCTTCCCCTCCATTCCCAGAGCCTATGTTTCCAGTGAACTCAAATGTGGAGTTCATGGGAAGGAGACATCCTCTTCTGTCCCCTTCTCCAGGAAGCCTGGGTGAACTCCTGAGCCAGCTTCCATGAAGGGCTGCTTTCCTCCTTATCCCCACTCAGGGGCTGGAGCCCCCACCCAGAAAATGGGAAAGAGTTGCTTTCTGGCTTCTCATTGAGCCACCACATGATCCTGCCAGTCCAAATGCCCAATTACCACCAGGCCCTACATAATTTCTCAAATTTTCCCAAATGTATTTTTGAATTATTTATGAGGGGGCTTCAAAAAGTTCATGGAAAATGTGTATTATGAAAAAACTGTGCATGGACTTCAAATTTTTTTTACACCAAAATAAACTCACACTAACTTGTTATAATATTTCTGAATAGGGTCTAGTTTGAGGCACTGAGAAGGATCAGAGATTGGCTTGATAAGAGCACCTACCAGAGCAACATGAATTCTGTGAAAATTGAAGTAAAAACAAACATTAAATTCATGGTGAAGCTTGGGTGGAAGAATGGTGAAGTCATGGATGCTTTACCAAAAGTTTATGGGGACAACATCCCCCCCCCCAAAAAAATCAGCAGTTCACAAATGGAAAACACATTTTAAGAAAGGAAGAGATTTGAGACCAGCCTGGCCAACATGGTGAAACCTCATCTCTTCTAAAAATACAACAATTAGCTGGGTATGGTGGCATGCACCTGTAATCCCAGCAACTTGGGAGGCTGAGGTAGGAGAATCACTTGAACCCGTGAAGCAGAGGTTGCAGTGAGCTGAGATCATGTCACTGCACTCCAGTCTGGGTGACAGAGCAAGACTCCATCTCAAAAAAAAAACAACAACAAAAAAAAACCACAAGATTATGTGGAAGATGAAGTCCACAGCGGTAGACCATCCATATCAATTTGTAAGGAAAAATATTCATCTTCTTCATGCCATAATTGAAGAGGATCAATGATGAACAGCAGAAAAAGACCCAACACCATGGACAGATCAACTGCAGACAGGAGGGGAGATTTAGATGAAAATTTTAAACAAGTGGGATTAAGATCCTGAAGCATTTCTTCAAAGAATTGTAACAGGAGATGGAACTTGGCTTTCCCAGTACAATGCTGAAGACAAAGCACAATCAGAGCAATGGCTACCAAGAAGCAGAGGTGACCTAGTCACAGCAAAAGCAGACAGGTGAAGAGCAAAGGTCAGGGCAACAATTTTCAGTGATGCTCAAGGCATTTTGCTTGTTGACTTTCTGGAAGGCCAAAGAACAGTGACATATGCTTATTACGAGTGTTTTGAGAGAATCACAGCTTTAGGAGAAAAATGCCCAAGAAAGCTCCACCAGAGAGTTCTCTATCATGACAATGATCCTGCTCATTCCTCTCATCAAACAAGGTCAATTTTGCGAGTTTCAATGGGAAATCACTAGGTATCCACCTTACAGTCCTGATTTGGCTCCTTATGACTTCTTTTTGTTTCCTAATCTTAAGAAATTATTTAAAGGAGACCCGTTTTTCTCCATTTAATAATGTAAAAAAGACTGCCTTGACATGGTTAAATTCCCAGGATCCTCAGTTCTTTGGAGATGGACAAAATGGACGATATCATCACTTACAAAAGTGTCTTGACCTTGATAGAACTTGAGAGAAATAAAGTTTATATTTTTTATTCTTGTCTTTTAATTTCATTTTCCCACAAACTTTTAAAAGTCCCTTATATTTGTTTTTAATTTAAAAGCCTCTTTTATATGTGCTTTACTTTTCCTCAAATGATACATCAATAGTATTATACATATATGAATAAAATTTGGTAAATAATGGTTATTTAAATTATTCTCATTATAAGTTCTAGAAAACAGAAGGAGTTAATTTTAATTTTATGATGTAGTCCATTATTTCCAAAACTATGCTATTATCTGGGAGCATTTCGACCACCAGAAACATTTGAAATATCAGAACACTTCCTCTCTGCCAATGCTTCTGTGTTGCTCAGTGATAAGACAACAGTGGAGGCTAGTTGTCAGTCTCCATAAATGTAAAAGAATGGTTTGACTGTGCTGACATTCTAAAGGGTAGGTGGCTCCTGGTCTGGGCCCAGCAGGGCTGCTGCCCCCTGGCTGTAAGGGTCCTGGCCAGAGCTGGACTGAGCTTAGCTGTTCAAGGCAATGAGAGGTTGGTACAGGCTGGGATTCCTCTTCACCAGCGCATCTGGCTTACTGGGCCCTCAGATTCTTCATTTGGGGTAAAAAGCCTGCCCCAGTGTCATCACCATCTGTACAATGCGTGTGCTAAAGGCCTCAGGGCAGCCTGGGCGAAGCGCTGGGGTGTCTGCAGCTTGAGGACTAGGGGTTGGGATGCCATGCTGAGCCAGGATCAAGCCTGCCCAGGGATAGATATGCACACCTTATAGGTAAAAAGCAAGGCTGGATCCTCAGGGTGATATAGTGAGCAGTCCTAGGACCTGAGGTTCAGACCAGGTCCACCTTGCAGTGTGAAAGGCCAGGTGAGCCTGACCAGGCTGGGCCTGGTCCGTAACTGTGGTCATTGTGGACCGAACACACTCTGGCATCTTCAGGGAAACCTGAACAGAGATTCTGGGGTCAGGGGGAACAAGGTTTGAAGCAGGCTCTAGAATCTTCAGGCCATGCGACTTCTGAAAAGCTGTGGAACCTCACTGAGCCCCAGTTTCCCTAGCTGTTACAAGGGAATGAAGATGGACCGTGCCTTGCAGTGAGCTTGGGAGGGATATGGTAGACAGAAAGGGTCTAGCTAGTGCCTAGGACCTAGCAAGTGCTCAGCAATGGATAGTGCTTCACATCAGCCTTCTCCAGGGGCACAGAACTGAGCTGGCCTCTGTGGACAAATGAGGATGAGACAGTTAGAACAGCCCTGAAAAAAGATGAAGACTGTTCCTGTCAGACCAGGCCTTTGGGAAGCAGGGGAAGTACAGGAGAATTCATGCAGATACAGCCTTGGAGACACAGAGAATTAAAATTATGCCTCCCGTCCTATCTTGGCACCTGATACAAAGCAGCTCTCCGTGAATGAGGAATGAATGAACAGGGAGAGTGATGTGTGACATTTATTTGCCCATCCTTCAATTGGCTGCAGTTTTTAATTCAGCCAGTAGAGGGCAGAGGTGGCTCGCGCATTCCCTGTGGACAGAGGAGGGGGTTCCAGGGAGTTCTGTGTGTTCCCATGGGGGATAATAAGCCTCAGGGCTCAGGGACCCCCATCCCTCACCAGGAGGCCGTTCAGAGCCCCCGAGAGATCAAGACTCTCCCCAGCTTTCCATCTCTCTGAACAGGGCAGGCCAGTTGGGACAGACACTCTGACCAGGTTTCCGGGGGCCTTGGTGTGCCTGCGCCCCATCTTGTCTCAGGGACTGCTCTGCCTTTCTCCTTTGTTCGGGGCGGGGGGACCTTTTTTGTTTTTTTTTTGAAACAGAGTTTCGCTCTGTTGCCCAGGCTGGAGTTCAGTGACGCAATCTCGGTTCACTGCAACCTCCACCTCCCGGGTTCAAGCAATTCTCCTGTCTCAGCCTCCGAGTAGCTGGGATTACAGGCACCCCCCGCCACCTTGCCTGGCTAATTTTTGTATTTTTAGTGGAGATGGGGTTTCGCCATGTTGTCCAGGCTGATTTCGAACTCCTGACTTCAGGTGATCCGCCCGCCTCGGCCTCCCAAAGTGCTGGGATTACAGGCATGAGCCACTGTGCACAGCCTTTTGGGGAGTACTTTTCTTAGGCGGAAAGGATAATGCACATGAGTGCTTATCCCATGCCGTTCCTGCAACCAGTGTCTGTCAGCTGGGAGCTAGCTGTTTATGCCTGTTTTACAGACGTAAGAACTGAGGCCCATTGCAGGGTCACCGTTATCAATAAGGAGCAGAGCCTGGTTAAGCATGGAGTGAAATTTTGTGTGAATATGCGTTCTTTGTATTTCCCCTGCCCCTTGGCTTGGATGCTAATGGCTGGTTACCTTGATGAAGGAAGGAAAAGGGTGGCTGGCTCTTCCTCCGGTGGTAGAGAGAGGGATGGCTGCCATCAGGCTCCACTGACCCAGAAACAGTTTTTTGGGGGGCCAAAATGCTCCTCTTTTTGGGAGAGGGTTGTGGGATTGGATGCCAACCTTTGCATGGCACCTTGAAGAGCCTTTCTGCTTGAGGACACTAGCCCATGTCCCGCCTGTGGCAGAGACTCCCACCTCCCAGGGCGCTGTAATGCTCTGTTTAAGACTGACCTGTCTACCTTGACTACAGTGGACCTGTAGGTGGGTGCAGGCCTCATGACAGATGCAGCAAAGCCACATCAAAGTGTAGATCAGCTCTCTGCTGGCCTCTTGCTTCCCTCCAGCTCAGTAGTGGGTTTCTGCGTTAGTGCACTGCTCCCTTCTCTGGTTCATTTTTTTTTTTTTTTTTGAGATGGAGTCTTGCTCTGTCACCCAAGCTGGAATGCAGTGACGCAATCTCGGCTCACTGCAACCTCCGCCTCCTGGATTCAAGTGATTCTCCTGCCTCAGCCTCCTGAGTAGCTGAGATTACAGGCACACACTACCATGCCCAGCTAATTTTTGTATTTTTAGTACAGACAGGATTTTGCCATGTTGGCCAGGCTGGTCTTGAGCCCCTGACCTCAGGTGATCCACCTGCTTCAGCCTCCCAGAATGCTAGGATTATAGGTGTGAGCCACCGCGCCTGGCCCCCAGGTTCATATTTATCCCTAACATGTGTCCTCGAGTAGCTGTGTGCTACTGGGCCCTATAGGGAAGAGCCAGCTGGCCCTGTCCTATCTTCCACAGGTCATATGAGCTGAGGCTCTTAATCCTCCTCCTTCTACACTCCTGTTGTTCCTAGGACCAGGATGGATGCCGATAGGGATTTCATACAGATTCCTTGTTTGTCCTGTGGATGTTTGCAGGGCCATGGGCAGACAGAGCCAGGGCAGTGGGCACAGCCCCAAGAAGAGTGATGCTGGGTTACCTGGATGAGGCTTTGTGGTGGGAGCAGACATGGCTAGTGGCCAGTGTCTCCGCTGTGGTCACTTGCCATAGTTGCACTCCAGCAGGCCCAAAGGTCCTTTGTGAAGGTCCCTCCAGGCCTGGCTTCTGTCTCATGGCCTTGCGTAGTGTGTGGTCCACAGCACAGTCCATGACCCTTGGGAATATCCATCCCAAGGGTATATGTATAACACAAAAGATGGCAGCAATAAGCCCAAATATTTCTGTTATCCTTATCAATGTGAACTAATTAAACTCATAAATTAGAAGTAGAAACGGGGTTTCACCATGTTGGCCAGGCTGGTCTCAAACTCCTGACCTCAGGTAATCCACCTGCCTCGGCCTCTCCAAGTGCTGGAATTAAAGGTGTGAGTCACTGTGCCCAGCCAATTTTATTCTTTTAGTTTTCAGATGTTTGGCCAGGTGTCTGAGCACCCTGCATTGAGATGCTTCCTTTGTCCCATTCTCTATTTCTGTATGGATTTCTGTCTACATCTGGACTTGCTCTTCTATTATATTTATCTGTCTGTCCATACATACACATTTACTACACTGTTTTAATAAATGAAGCTTCATAACTGAATTGCCTTTAATAAATGGTACCAGCTCCAATACCAATTATAGCAGAAAACATGGTCCCCTGTATTAGGTATTTGAGAGCAAGATGGATGATCTGGGTGCTCGAGCTGAGAGAATTTCTTTCCCTATGCCAGGCCTCCTTTTTACTCTTAGAGGCAGGTACCCCATTTTATAGATACAGAAAGTGAGGTGAGGTCAAGGAAGGTCAGTTCCCAACTGTGCCAGCTCTGAATTTTGCAGGGTTTAGGAGCACCCAACCTCATATGCCTATTTGTGGATGAGAAAACTGGTTCTGGGTGGAGATAGAGACATGTGGAAAAGACAGATCTGATGATGCATTATCACTCAACCACTCACTCATTCACCACTTCACCCCAGCACAGACTGACCGTGTGCTAAGGCCAAGCCCTGCACTGGGGCAGAGAAGGGGCTGCTCCGTCCCCTGGGATCTCACGGTGGGCTGGAGGGAAAGGCGAGGAAGCACTGAGGGACAGGAGGGAGGAACTGTGGTGGGAATAGAGGGAGGAACGGGGCTGTGGGCCCCCACAGTGGGGCCTCATGGTCTTAGCCTG
Organism: Homo sapiens; assembly: GCF_000001405.40. Lineage (NCBI taxonomy): Eukaryota > Metazoa > Chordata > Mammalia > Primates > Hominidae > Homo > Homo sapiens. The sequence continues at coordinate 80,257,811 of NC_000010.11, read as the reverse complement.
GGCCCCCCTTCCAATGCTGAAAGTAGGGCAGGTGCCCAGGACTTTGCAGCAGGAGGACTATTTCGAAAAGTGAATCCAGGGAGCAGAGTGAGGGTCTGGGAAAGTAAAGGAGGAGAAAAAAGCTAAGGGTATACTGTAGAGATGACCACATTGAAGGCAACTGAGGCTTAACCCAGTGTGATCTCTAGGACAGCATCTAGAAAGTGCATCATGGCCAGGCGCGGTGGCTCACGCCTGTAATTCCAGCACCTTGGGAGGCTGAGGCAGGCAGATCACCCGAGGTCAGGAGTCTGAGACCAGCCTGACCAATACGGTGAAACCCCGTCTCTACTAAAAATAGAAAAATTAGCTGGGCATGGTAGCGGGTGCCTGTAATCCCAGCTACTCGGGAGGCTGAGGTGGGAGAATTGCTTGAACCCAGGAGGCGGAGGGGGCAGTGAGCCGAGATCACACCACTGCACTCCACCCTGGGTGACAGAGCGAGATACTGTCTTAAGAAAAAAAAAGAAAGAAAGAAAAAGAAAGAAGGAAAGAAAGTGCATCAGACTGTGCATGTCTCTCTCTCAGTGAAAAAGGGAGAAGCATTTAACTCCATGTTCCTGTCTCCATTGGTTGAGGGCTGTCCTGTGGGAACAGGGCAGGAATCCACCCGGGGTATGTGGATCTGGTGACAGCCAGCATGTGTGGACTGTTTGCCAGAGCTGTGGCTGGAATCTGGAGCCAGGTGAGAACAGATGAGGCTGGACAAAGGGTCTCAGCCTGGTTCCCAGGTATGGGACTTGACAGCCACCTAGCTGGCCAGGATGGGAAATGCAGCAGGGACCAGGCAGCGAGGGAGGCTGCTGGGATCCCCACCCCACAGAGGAGGCAAACCTGAGACAGGGCAGCCCTTTCCCCTGGAAGTCCTTGCTTCAGGGACAGACCCAGAGGCTCCACACAGCAACCCAGCCACAAGGGAGGCCTGCGTGTCCCCATGTGATGGGCTTTCATGGCGCTGGGCCTTAAGGAGGTCACAGCCTTGGAGTGCAAGAACTCCCATGGCTCCTGAGTCCCAGGACTACCTGCCTTTGCTGTCCCCTCACCCAGGCCATCTGCCCCCCTCCACCTCCTGCAGGCTCACCCTTTTGTTCCCTGCTTTCTCTTTCTCTGCTTCTCTCTGCCTCCCTCTTTGTCCTTCCTTTCTCTCTGTGACCCTGTCCTCAACAACTCTTTCCCTACCTCTATTGTGCTGTTTCTCTGTGATTCTCTCCAGCCTCCTCTCCCTGTCTCAGTCCTCTCCATCTCTCTTGTTTCCTGTCTTCATTCCTCTCTTCTCTGTCTTTTTTTCTCTGCCTTTCCCTCCGTGTGTGGATCACTGGCCAGCTCTCTGGACATCTCCCTCCCTCCAACTCCCTTGGTTCTCACTGTGGGTCCTTCTGTCTTTGTCTCTTCCAGCTTTCCTTTTCTCCCCCTGGGCCCAAATCAACTTCTCTCCATGACTCCATCCTCCCATCTCCATCTCTCTCTCTCTCTCTCCTCACCTTCCACCTTCTCTCTCTCTCCCTTCTCTCTTTCTCTCACTGTTTCAACCCCTCTCTCTCTATCCTCCTTGTCTTTCTCCTTCTCTCTGTCCTTCCCCTCCCTCTCTCATCCCTTCTCTCTCTTCTCTCTGCCTGTCTCATCCTCTGACTGAACTCACCCCTGCGTTCTCTACTCCTCTCCAGTCCTGCTCAGTGAGCCTCTCACCACCGACCTCTGCCTATCACACAATTTAAAAATTACAGGAAGATGGTGGGGGGCACAGGACTTATGGAGAAATGTCTACACCCAGCTCAACTTCCCTTAGAGCTGCCTGGAGTTGGTTCTACCGAGGGCAGCTGGCTCAGTGGGGAATGGGCTCTGACAAACCCTGAGTCTCTGCGAGGCCCCTCACAGGCTCCACAGCCACTGCTGGGCCCCCTTCTATTCCCTGTCAGAAGTTGGCCACCTCATGGGGATGTATTACTGTCTATCTGCTCACAAGGCACCACTGGCAGTCACTAGGAGCACAGTGACTCTTTCTAGAATGAATGAGCACAACCTCCACCCGTGGCTGGATACAGGATATTCCCCCACCCCAGAAGCCCCCCTCGGACCCTTCCCAGTCAACACTACCCAAAGGGTAACCCTGCTTCTGTGTCCAGCAAGGCAGTATCTGCCTGAGTTTGAATAGTGTATGAGGAGTCACACCTGGTATACCCTGGGGTGTGAACTGGTCCTCCAGGAAGCGGACACCCAGAAAGATAGGACTGCAAATGTTTCTAAAGGGAAACACTGGAAATGAGAGAGAGAGGAGGAAGCATGGGACATGGAGCATCAAATATGGTAGAGACTTTTCCAAGATATCATGGCCCAGGAGACTCTTCAAATTTCAAAATTATCCTGTAAGGTAAAAAGATTTCGGTTTATTTCCAGGTGACCTTCTTTTGCCCAATATACATTTTGTCTTCTATGAAATATCTGTGCCCCTGCTGAATACTTCTGTGTGTGGCCATATCTGTGTCTGTATGTCATGGAGAATAATTATCCACAGATCACAGATACAAATCTCAGAGTTTAACTGTGTATGCATTTTTAGGATCTCTTCATCTCGTAAGGATCTGAATTCTAATCTTGGAGACAGGGGCTTTCCCTTATCTTTTGAAAGAGAAACTGGAAATCCCAGAGCCTGAGCTGCTACACCCTAAGGTTTATTAAATGAACTTCAATGAACACCTTTTGCTGATCTTCTGAGTGGAAATATTTTCATTTAACCAGCGGGAGGGGTGAGGCTCTACCATCTACCAGCTATTTTGCAAGATGCCTTCCTTATGAGCTTGGTCTCCCTGTCCTCACCATGACCTCATAATCGCATCATTCCCAGCTCATTTCTGAGAAAGCTGGGGCTCTGAGCTCTACTGAGAGTTGGTGTCTGGGCTTAGGCAGCAAAGACACAGGGAAGGGGAAGCATTTTGCCTGCCAAGGTTGGGAGATGCAAAGCTGAGAGTTGTGGGTGGGAAGGAGAGGGTGCAGGAGATCAGAGTAGGTCACAGCAGCTCAGGATTGGCCTTGAGTTTCCAGCCAGAGTTGGCCTCATTCTGAAGGCCAAGGCCGCAGCTCCACTGAACCAGACCCATCCTCATTGTTAGTCTCCTTAGGCCGTGAAAACTCAGGGAGACAGGTTCCCCTGACAGAACCAAGTTAAAATTTTCAGACCTCTAGGCATTCATTCACCCCGATCTAGAGCCTTCATGCACCCAGGGAAAGAATCATCTTCCTACCGATAATGGACTAAAGGCTGTAGGGCAACAAGGAAGTGCTGGGGTGGTAATTTCCTGTGCACAATGTGGTATCTGAGCTCCCATGGCAGCTCTGTGTGGCCCTCACCGCAGCCTCCATGCTCCTGCTCACGCTGCTTGCCTGGCTAGGAGCAGCCTTCCAGCTCTACCTGAGTTCAACAACCCCCCATGTCACACCTCCCTGCTTCAGCTTTCTCTTCCACAGCCTCCTGTTTACTCCCAGGAGATTCTGTCTCCTCCTTCTGCACCCTGTGTCCCTTCACTTGTGTTTCCATTGGGCTGGTCAGAAGCTCTGTGCCCTTCAGTGTGGGTCTCTCTGCTGCAGCACACAGGATGCCCTGCCAGCCAGGGATGGGTCTCATCCCTCACAGAGCTGGCCATATGGCCCAGGTTCCACACAAGCCTGCAAAACTTGTATTTCTAGCTTCTATAAATAACCTCTGGCTGGGCACAGTGGCTCACACTTGTAATCTCAGCACTTTGGGAGGCCAAAGTGGGCAGATGGCATGGCTCCAGGAGCTTGAGGCCAGCCTGAGCAACATGGTGAAACGTGGTCTCTACAAAAAGTTAAAAAATAAAAATAGCCAAGCATGGTGTTGCACACCTGTAGTCCCAGCTACTCTGGAGGCTGAGGTGGAAGGATCACCTGAGCCCTGGAGACGGAGGTTGCAGTGAGCCAGGAGTGCACCCCTGCACCCCAGCCTTGGTGACAGAGCAAGACTCTGCCCCCACCCCTTAAAATGAAAAAAAACTCTTTCCTCATCTACAGAAGATACCTTCTGCCAAGGTCATGATGAGGAAATAATGCAACTGACTTGTACTCTCAGAAACTTGAGCAAAGTGACCACATCCTCAGCCAGTGCAAAGCCCTGCAGTACAATCTGTAACATTTCTATTCATTCAGAAAGGGAAAGATGAATCCATTTTGCAACTCAGTTCATACTGTTCAGATAAATATACCAAGTAGTACATGTGGAGGTCGTGGTCGAGGTCCTACAGGCAACAATGGGTAGGGGAGCTGGTTGAGGTCCTGGAGGAGTTCAGATAGCAGAGGCCAGCCAAGTGGAGGAGGTGGCAGATGTACTAGAGGAGACCCTGGTGGAGGAAGTGGCTGAAGTCCCAGGGACCACAAATGGAGATTATTGAAGTAACCGAGGAGATTCATGTGAAGGTGGTTATTGAGGGGCCAGACGCCACCCAGGTAGAAGGGGTGGCTGAGGATCCAGAGGTTACTAAGTGGAGATGTAGTCGGAGGTCCCAGAGGCCTCACAGAACAAAAAGGTAAATGATGTCCTAGAGGAAGGCAGCTATAAAAGATGGATGAGGTCCTGGAGGGAAGACACATGCTGGACGTGGATGAGGTCTGGGAGGACCAAGAGCTGTAGGAGGTGGATGAGGTCCCGGAAGACAGACACATGTAGCATGTTGATGAGGTCCCAGAAGACTTACAGCTCCAGGAGGTGGATGAGGTCCCAGAGGACCAACAGCTGCAGGAGGTGGATGAGGTCCCAGAAGACCTACAGCTGCAGGGTGTGGATGAAGTCCCAGAGGACCAACAGCTGCAGGAGGTGAATGAGGTCCCGGAAGACCAACAGCTGCAAAAGGTGGATGAGGTCCCGGAGGACCACCAGCTGCAGGAGGTGGATGAGGTTCCGGAGGACCACCAGCTTCGAGAGGTGGATGAGGTCCCGGAGGACCGACAGCTGCAGGAGGTGAATGAGGTCCCGGAGGACTGACAGCTGCAGGAGGTGGATGAGGTCAGATGCATGCCGTGGGTCAATGAGGTCATGGAGGACCAACAGGTGCAGCAGGTGATTGAGGTCCTGGAGGATTGACAGCCGCAGGTGGTGGATGAGGTCCGGAAAGACAGGCAGCTGCAGTAGGTGGATGAGGTCCTGGAGGACTGACAGCTGCAGGAGCTGGATAAGGCCCCAGAGAACAATCGAGTGGAGGAGGTGGTTAAGTTTTCAGGGGACTCTCTAGTGCAGGAGGTGGCTGAGTTCCCAGAGGACAGTCGAGTGGAGGTGGTTGAATTCCCAGAGGACTCTCCAGTGGAGGAGTTTGTTGAGGTCCCAGAAAACCTTCAGATGGAGGGAGTGTTTGAGTTCCCAGACAACACCCAGGTAGAGGAGGCGGCTGGCAGCCCATCAATGGTCCTGAAGGGCCAGCCATGACATCGGGCAAGTAGGGCCATTCTGAGAAAGGATGAGGCTTCCCTGTAGCCACATTGACCTACAAGTCAGGAGGAGAAAATGTTTTGAAATATATGAATATGATGGACACAAAAACACCAAAACCAACACAAGCTGCACCTTATGCCTCAGGTGATAGTCCCTTGCACCTTTCCCTCCTCCAGGTTTCAAAATGGCAGCATCAATGCCATAAAGTGTCCCTTCAACTGAGTCCTTCCAACAGCAGGGGAGTGAAGAAAAGTCGTGGGGACAAACTGCTATCCCCACACGCCACTCTGTCTGCAAATGTACGCAGGCTGGGGCCTGTCCCTGGGAAGACAGAGTCATAACCCAGTAATAAAGAAGCATGTTTCTGACACAGGGGTGTCTATGTCTATCCTAATTCCTCCCTCACCATCATCACCGGAGCATGTTCCTTGCATCAGATAAACAGAGAGAAACAGAAGCATGAAAAGCCCATTGTCCACACATGAGTCACAGCTACTCTTAAGAGAATGGCCTCCAGGCTTTTCATGTGCTGTCTCTGATTCTCAGAAATCTACAAGGTCAGTGTGACCACCCTGCTCCAAATCTAAGAAAATAGAGGCTCCAGAGGAAGGAGAAATTTCACCTAGCATCACACAGCTTGCAAGAAGCAGAGTGGAAGTCGATTCCAGCTCTGCCTGCAAGACCCTCTCGTCCCCCTTCTGCTTCCCTTCTTGACAAACGGTCTTCTCTACTTTGGAAGCGCCATCCATGGGCACAAAGAGCTATGGGGAGATGGGGATTCCTGAAGAGCTACAGGGGAACTGGGAGAGGGTTTTCTGACGGAATAATCTTACCTAGAGATAGCAGTTTGGCACGGTTATCATATTTCTTTAACTTCTAGGTAATACCAAATTTTAAGTGCACTATGACATAAAGAATAATTTTGTCCATGGAAAAATGAGGTGGGAATTCTCAACAACAGAAGTTTTAAAAATATGTTTGATTTCAAGTGTACAAGTCCCATCGTGTGTGATCAGAGGATTCAGCAGCTGTCGAAGACACAGAGGCCACATGAGAACCAGCTTAATTGAGCATCATTTAAGGCCTTCATTGAGAATTGTCCCTGTAGGTAATGAGTGACGTTCACTCTCCACTACCTCACAGCCAGGGCACATTTTCTATTAAAATATGGAACCTCTGACACTTAGAATATTAGATCAAGGGCAACACTGGGTGAGGGTGGGGGCGTTTTTGCTCAACACAGTTAACAACAGAGATGGGACTGTGATGAATTATGGAATTGACTTTGCCAAAGAACATTCAAAATTGCACAAAGCACATATTAATGTTGGATCAATGAGTTTTCACTTCTGGGATTACGGCGGATATTCTGAAGGTTAATCACTTACCTCATAGCAGAAAAGAAAATCACAGCAAAAAAAAAAAAAAAGGAAGCCCCACATATTTTGGAAAGGGGATCCCACACCATCTTGAGTAAAAGGGATCAGTCAGGGTCTACTGGGCCATAAGACCTACCTCAGTGGAGTTCAATGGCATCCTCTCATGTTATTTCTGGAAACAGAACAGTGACAGCCCTGCAGCCCTTGGCCCTTAAGCATTTATGGCTTCTGGAGGTGCCACCAAAGATGACCAGCTGGAAATGGAGAAGCCTGAAAGCTCATGGGGAAGATTTTGCTTTCAAAAAAGTCCAGTTAGAAAAGGCACCACAGAACCCAGAGAGCAGAGGACAGGCCAGGAGAGGGCGCTGTAGGAAAAGACAAAACTGTCCTGAACTAGGCAGAGGGAAAATGACTCCAGCATTTACCTTTGTCTTCTCTGTTTTCTGGCTATGTCTTCTGATTCTTTAAGAAAAGAAGAAATATTGATCCATGAAGACATAGCCAGAAAATTTCTGCTCTCATCAGCACTTATGGCTCCCATTCTAAAATGTTATTAGTGTTACTTTTCTCAAATAATAATAAAAAAAATAAAGCCTTCCCACTGACTCAAGGTTGGAAGGGGAGCTGACCCATTTGCCTTCTAGGCTCATCCCCTCAGTTAAAAGTAACCAAGACATCAGGGTGGAATGATGTCCACAGTCAGTGGAGGGGCCTGTGCTCCGCTATTCACAGGGGACCAGCCAAGAGTCATTCAGCTGTGGCACGTGAGAAAAACGGTCCTGCCACCCAGCGGGATAACTGTTCTCTTTAGTAAGTGCTTGGAACTGTTTCCAGGAAACATAACAATTACCCAACCCAAGCCCTCACCCCAGAAAGGAGAAGCAGGGGTGTGGATTGTGGAGCAGAAGTTAAGTGGGTGCCTTCCCAGAGAGCTCCTACCTCTCCAGAAAGGGTTCTCTAGCCCTAGCTGTCCCTGGGCTGCCTCCTGACTCATGTGTCTCTCCAGCACTCCCTGCTTTTCCATCATTTCCTGTCTTGAAGACAGTGAAAGAGTTGACTTGTAGAAGAATTAAAACACTGTTTTCTTTACTAGACAGTCAAAGCTTCATCTTAAAACAAAAACATCCTTAAAATTTGTCCATCACAATCACCTACCTGTGCTGCTTGCCGGCAGCCTTCCTCTCTGCCATCTCCCTCTGCAAGGCTTGAGCACAGAGCTGTGGGGAGAAAAATACATCCATGTCCCGACTTGGCCGAAAAGCAAGGGAAAAATGAACAAACTTACCCAGTTGTTGAGGCCTTTCTTGCAGCAGAAGGGGCGATCTGAAAAAGCCAACACATGAGAAAATGTATGTTGACAGATTCTAGGGGCAGTGGCATCATCTTGATGAGCGTTTAAGGATCCTGCAACTGCAGGAAGGAAGGCTCCTTACCTCTCATCTGTAGGAGTCCTCTACCAACTGCTGCAGCTCTTGTCTGTCTTGAATCGTTTATCTATGGTTTAGAATCACTTTCATCAGACAAAGCATCATCTTTAGTATGATTTTAAATAATCTGCCATGTTCCTGTTGTCCTCACAATTGTACCCTTACACAATCTATCTATACATAGAAAATGTATTTCACATGGCTATAAAAGTACAGTATGATCAAAACTGTTGCTGTAATGCTTCCTCCTCTTTTACTTAATGCCTGCTGGGTTCTGAGTTGACAATTTCCTTACCCATTTTCAGTATGTCCCTAATTCATGCTTCATTGGGCATCTTTTATCATAAAGCTCTGTTCTCCTGGAATTAATATCCTTGCCATATTTCACAGGGCAGAAACAGCTGAGCTTATAAACAGGCACAGTCCTTTTGAAGGATGGGTTGATCCTACAACAACACACTTTCCTAAGGATGATGACAACTCGCATCACCCCTAGAACGGCTGGTATGAACCGAGTTTCCACACAGTCTGGCTGGCATTGCAGTCAGGAGATGTTTGGCTACTTCACATGTTTTGAACACTAGTAAATCTTAAGGTACGTGTGTTCTCTTGTGTGAATTGTCTCTCTCTCTAGGTATCGCTTCTGACCATTTGTTTCCATTTCTGTGTTAACTGGGTCTAAAGATTGTACAAAGATTTAAAACAAAACACTCCACCAGCGCTTCCCCAAGAGGCTGGTGTCGGTTTCTGAACCCACTTGCAGATGGGTATTTTTTCTAGAGCCAATTTCATGGTTTCTTCCACCTCTGACAGCCGCCTCTCCTTTTCTTCTCGTTCACGTTCTTTCATTCTCAGCTTCCTGAGTCGAGAAGGGAGAGAAATGCATGCACGTGATCCACTGGCCTGTGTGGGATTCCTTGTGGCATCTGAAGGCCGTGATTCAAAGGTCCCCTGACAACCTTCCCATAAATGAACCAACTGATCCTCACAACTGGAGAGAGAATTAACACCTTCCATGGGACAAAGAAAAAGCACATTCTGGCCTGCTGGCAAGTCACCTGTCGTTTCCAGCTCATCTTCATCGCTCTGTATTCCTACTCTTTAGTAAATATGAACTATTAAAAGCTTCTATGAGATGCGCTATGCGTGCTTCTGGGATCAGTCTTTTGCCTGACATAGCGAAAGCTCATTTTAGTTCAGTGTGGAAAACCAGACCTCACCAGCTCATCACAACTAAACCCATAAGGACGGAGCAGCGGATCACTCCTCGTCTGACTCCTCCCACAGGGAGACCTGATTCTCCATCAGAGGCTGATGCCAGAACCCAGACAATCAGCCTCAGAGAGATCCTTCCAGGACATGCTGTCATTAGCCCTGCGGTTCACTACTGCACATGTCCATGATTCAGGACTGGAACTCTTCTCATCGACTTTAAAGATCCTGGTTGAGAGAAAAGGCCAATCTGAGTGCTGGGTGCATCTACTGAATTGGAAATGATCCAATGGCTCTTTAGTTAGGGTGTTATGTCCTGAAAATAGGTGACAACTGCAAACCATCCTCTGGTGTCCAGAGACTTTAACAAGGTTTGTTTCACAGAGACTGAGGGCAGAAAAAAGGAAATGGCCTAAAAAGGTGGGTTTGCTGTGTTGCCTCACACTACTTGATTCATGGTTCTGATTCTAAAAATCTCACTTGATACTTGATTTCATATGAAAGACGTGTAAAATGCCTGGGTAGAGGCGGCGGCGGCGGCGGCGGCGGGCTCGGAGGCAGCGGTTGGGCTCGCGGCGAGCGGACGGGGTCGAGTCAGTGCCGTTTGCGCCAGTTGGAATCGAAGCCTCTTAAAATGGCAGATGATTTGGACTTCGAGACAGGAGATGCAGGGGCCTCAGCCACCTTCCCAATGCAGTGCTCAGCATTACGTAAGAATGGCTTTGTGGTGCTCAAAGGCTGGCCATGTAAGATCGTGGAGATGTCTGCTTCGAAGACTGGCAAGCACGGCCACGCCAAGGTCCATCTGGTTGGTATTGACATCTTTACTGGGAAGAAATATGAAGATATCTGCCCGTCAACTCATAATATGGATGTCCCCAACATCAGAAGGAATGACTTCCAGCTGATTGGCATCCAGGATGGGTACCTATCACTGCTCCAGGACAGCGGGGAGGTACCAGAGGACCTTCGTCTCCCTGAGGGAGACCTTGGCAAGGAGACTGAGCAGAAGTACGACTGTGGAGAAGAGATCCTGATCACGGTGCTGTCTGCCATGACAGAGGAGGCAGCTGTTGCAATCAAGGCCATGGCAAAATAACTGGCTCCCAAGGTGGCAGTGGTGGCAGCAGTGATCCTCCGAACCTGCAGAGGCCCCCTCCCCCAGCCTGGCCTGGCTCTGGCCTGGTCCTAGGCTGGACTCCTCCTACACAATTTATTTGACGTTTTATTTTGGTTTTCCCCACCCCCTCAATCTGTCAGGGAGCCCCTGCCCTTCACCTAGCTCCCTTGGCCAGGAGCGAGCAAAGCCGTGGCCTTGGTGAAGCTGCCCTCCTCTTCTCCCCTCACACTACAGCCCTGGTGGGGGAGAAGGGGGTGGGTGCTGCTTGTGGTTTAGTTTTTTTTTTTTTTTTTTTTTAATTCAATCTGGAATCAGAAAGCAGTGGATTCTGGCAAATGGTCCTTGTGCCCTCCCCACTCATCCTTGGTCTGGTCCCCTGTTGCCCATAGCCCTTTACCCTGAGCACCACCCAACAGACTGGGGACCAGCCCCCTCGCCTGCCTGTGTCTCTCCCCAAACCCCTTTAGATGGGGAGGGAAGAGGAGGAGAGGGGAGGGGACCTGCCCCCTCCTCAGGCATCTGGGAAGGCCCTGCCCCCATGGGCTTTACCCTTCCCTGAGGGCTCTCTCCCCGACACATTTGTTAAAATCAAACCTGAATAAAACTACAAGTTTAATATGAAAAAAAAAGAAAGAAAGAAAGACGTGTAAAATGCCAAGAACTCTAGGAAACAGGGACAAAAACACTTCAAAGAGAAAGTTCATGCACTTGTTTCTGACCACCCAGGGCACCCTTCAGCACACGGTGTCTGGAGTGGCCTGAAGCAAGGAGTGTCTTGTGAGGTGCAGAGGATGCAATGGGAGCAGGGTCCTGTCCCCACCCTAAAGGAGTTCACAGTTTAACGCAAATGAGAAGCCAGTGAGGACATCACTACTCCTGCTGTGAACTTGGGAACTAGAAACACAAAACCTGAGCCTGGAGGGAAGCTAAGGAAGCATTCTGCTCTGGAGTAGACATGAGTGCATGTGAAGCTTCTGATCTCCCATGAGAGCAATGGGGACATGGGGCAGAATCTAAAACCCATGACTGAAAGCACCAAATTGCTAAAATGGCAATAAAGAGACATGAGGCCAAGATGGAGAAGAAGGAACCCAGGACGAAGGTCAGCCTCACATTTGGGGCTCATTTCCCTCAGTTTCATCACTGAATTTCAGAAGGGACTAACTGAGATGTAAAGAAGCAGAGCAGCTTTTGCACCATGTGGAGGACTAGATGGAAAACAAGTAGACTGAGGGTCTGCTAGTGACGGTGACCCCTACTGAAGTCCACTGGCTTTGGTTGGGACCCAGAAGAGTCACACGCCAGGAATAGAGGTGGACAGGAAACACCCTGACTTTTGTAGGGACTGAACCTCACTGATAACCTCAATTGCGGATGGTATGGAGGGTGTCTAGGTGTGCTAGGACCCCTGCCCATTCCCCAGAAATAGACTCCCATCTTTTCTGCAGCAAGATAACATGCTAGTCGGCCTCAATTCATTGCTAAATATTTTTAACGAGTGTCTTACATTTAGCCAAAAAGACTAGTCATGTGGCAGGAAAAATACAATGTCATATGACCAAAAGCTAAAAGACTGTGAAAATGAATCCCGAGGTGACCCAAGCATTGAATTTAACAATGCCAGTACCTGGACCTCCGCTTGCCCCTAAAACATTACAATCAAGAATGTAGGAAGGGAAAGGAAACACGAAGATTAATCAAGCAGGAAGGACAAGCTCAGTTTTGCACCCACTGAATTTGCCACAAATATTGTGGAAAATATTCTCGGGGACATTGCAGTTGTCTACTTTGGTTGGCACATGGTTCATACAACAGTGTTTGTGTCAGTGAACATCTTACTCTTCCTCGGCAGTCTTTCTTTGCCCAGAGATTTCGCAATGACTGTTGACCTTCATCATCACCTTTTGGACTTTGGCTTGCACTTTAGCTTCTGTAGATCTCCATAATGTAAAGAGGTATTTTGGGTCCATTTTAATTCCTGCAAAGGATAAAATCCTTCTATTCGTGTGCATATAAGTGGACCTGAGCCCTTGGTTAGGGTGTAGAGAGGAGACGGGGAGAAACCTGAGGGCCAGAAGCTGTTCTTTCCCTTAAAAGGGCAAACTCATTTCCACACTATGGGGACTCTGACAGATAGCATACCTTCCTGGCTACGGCTATTGGACCTGCAGGCTTTCCCCTGTAAATCCGTGTTCTGTCATTGACATTTTGTGACTGTAAGACAGACTTGAGATAAGACATCTAGAAAACAATAATTGAACAATGATGTGAATATATTTCACACAACTGAACTGTACATTTCAACAAGGTTAAGATGGTAATTATCACGTTATACATATTTTACCGCAGGTTAAAATGTTTCACAGGTTGAAAGGAAAGCAACTACCTTCAGTTCTCTGAGTTCAAGAATTTGTAACATTTCACCCCCTGCTCCTTCCTGATCTTCTGTGGAGCATCTTTTTTCCATCCATGCTCTACTCAGAGCCCACTTTCCCTTCCCTGACACCAGCTTCACTGAGGCTGGTTGGAACCTAACACAAAACATTCTCAGTAATGACTGAATTCCCACAAAGAATTCCATATAGACCGCATATGAGTTGAATCTTCTAAGACATGAAATATTTGTTCTCTTCTTGGCTAATATGCAATGCAAATCCTGTTGCAAATGTACGTCATATACCTCTGAAATTCCTGATGTATTCAATGAAATAACATCTTTAAAGTTCTGTGTAGAATGCTTTTTTTTCTGATTTCTTCACATAGGATAGAAAAAAAAACCCAAAAAAACATGTACTAGGATTTCGATAGAAGCAATGGGTGATCTAAAAAGATGAAAGAGCAACCGCATGCGCCCCACAGCTACCGCTAGATTTTATGGGGAAAGCAGCTGGCCCAGTTTGCAGCTAGGAGAAATGTCAAACACATGAAGAAATGAGAAGCAAAGAAAAACCGTGAGGCATGAACATTTCATGGCACTCACGATGTCCTGGTTTGTGAGATAATGGGATAGAGGAGTAGATAACAAGGAGAAAGATGAGAAGGTGCAAAGTGGTTCAAGTCAAACAGCTCAACTGAACTTTTCTTAATGGAATATTTAAAAAGTGGTACATTAAAAAACTTCCCCCAGTTCACATCAAAAATTCTCTCTTCAGGACTAAGTTGAGTAGAGACTGTTCAATGTGCCTAGATATCTTCAGAACTCATATATTTTCTGTTTTCTACGTATGTTGAAGGGCAGTGCCAAATGATGTGTAATTATCTAGGTTGTAAAAATAAAACATACTCCCCCTTCCCTTGAGGATAAAAAAGCATTGTGGTGTTAGCACTTTTTTCTTGGATCATTGTTCAGAAGATGTTTAAGCCCCTAGACACCCAAACTTTTACTGTCATGAACAGCAAGAGAAAACGTAGAGCTCGATTTACTCAATGGACAAAAATGCTCAAAAGCCAAATTATGGCACAATTTAGCAGCCACATTCTTAACCAGTACAGACTTTTGACATACCGATCCCTCTCCAGTGGCAACCGAGAACATGTACTTTGAATGATGCCATTTGAAATGACCACTCATTACTCTGCCCAGACACACTTTTCATTGATTCTTCGGAGGGCAGTTCCAAGAGATTCTCTGGGGCTTTCTCTGCATCATGAGACACAGTGCAGTTCTGCCCTTGACCTTCCTGCAGTTTGTCGCCTCTTCCTCATGATCTCAGAGGAACTTTGTCTCAGGCCAGCTGTTTGTTCCTTGGGCTCTTTCATTTCCCCTAATAATCATTTGCTGCCCTGCCTTCATCTCCATCTCCCTTTTCCCTGAGAAGAGGGTGCTCATTAAGCATCAATCATCTGGCCCTTCTTGCAGTCTCATTTTTTGGCTGGCTCCCATGTTTATGCCTGTTAATAAGGTTCTATGTTTTCCTTCTCCTGTTAAGCTGTCTGTTGTTAGTACATTGCTGCAGTGAACCTTTAGAGAGGAGAGTGGAAGCTTTCCTTCCACCCATACAATAGAACTATAAAGCAGAAAAGTTTAGAAAGAATTTCTTATTTAAGTGCTGAAACTTTATACTTCAGTTTTTGATAAAGAGCAGAGGGCTTAAAAAAACGTATTTTTGACCAAAAGCTCTGTTGACATTCTATTAAACAAACACAAACCTATTTAATTTTTTAATTAAATAGGTTGAATTAAAAATTTAAAAAAATTTAAAAAATCTGCCATAATTTAAATGGCAGATTTTTCATAATTCTTATGCTAATAAATCATTTCCTGATTTTTTAAATAAAACCCAATATTCATAATGAAGTCCAGAACCACAAATTGTTTTAAATAATTTCTTATTTGTGATTACAAGTCCACCTCTAGGGAAAGTTAGTGTACTCACACCAAGGCTAGTTTTGCAGAAGAAAATGGCAAGTTTGTAAATTCCCAGGGACACAACAATAATGATAAGCATCCAAGGAATTCCAAAAAAGTCAGGCCCGGGATGAAAATGCCCAGGCAGAAAATTGACGATATGGAATACTACTAGTTGACATAATGAGAAGGCTCAATGACATTTACAATATTTCAGTTACAAAGGATCATCCTTAGAAACCCTTAACCTCCTCCAAGAAGTAACCACACCCCTCAGATATCCCCGGGCAATTCCACTGCTTCAGGAAAGATTGGAAATTTCCAGTCTCATGTTTCTTGCATGGATGGTAGTGTATTTAGGCGTGCAAATGTGGGCTGTCTTTTTTCTTGGTCTGAAGCAGGCATGTCCAGTCTTTTGGCTTCCCTGGGCTATATTAGAAGGAGAATTGTCTTGTGCCACACATAAAGTACACTAACAATAACTGATGAGGAAAAAAAATCACAAAAAAATCTCAGAATGTTTGAAGAAAGTTTAGAAATTTGTGTTGGGCTGCATTCAGAAAAGCTGTCCCGGGTTGAATACACTCTGCCACCCATGGGTTGGACAAACTAGGTATAAAGTGATTATCTTTAAAGTCATTTACTTATTTTTTAGATTGAAATATAACATTGAATGTATTTGTCATGTATCACATGATAAAGGAATCTCTCTGGATCCCACTTCTTTCTTGAATTACATGAATCTTTGCAATTTAAAGAATATAAGTAAAAAAATACAATTAAGAGATGACTTCATTCAGAAATAAGTATCAAATTTTAGTGCTTAAAAATAACCAAGGTGGAGGGTGGGTGCAGTGGCTCATGCCTGTAATCTCAGCACTTTGGGAGGCTGAGGCAGGTGGATTACCTGAGGTCAAGAGTTTGTGACCAGCCTGGCCAACATGGAGAAACCCCATCTCTACTAAAACAAAAATTCTCTGGGTATGGTGGCAGGTGCCTGTAATCCCAGCTAATTGGGAGGCTGAGGAGGCTGAGGAAGAAGAATCGCTTGAACCCAGGAGGCACAGGTTGTGGTGAGCCAAGACCACCCAGCTGCACTCCAGCCTGGGCAACAAGAGGAAACTCCGTCTCAAAACAATAAATAAATAAATATTTAGAAATTTGTGTTACATTATTTGTAATATATAAAAAAAGAGTCCACACTGTATGATGGAAGAATGAGAAAAATATAAGAAAAAAGTCTTAAAGTTATAGATGAAAATATGACATAAAGATATGTTTATATCTATGCAAAACCGAGAGTGGACAGCTGCTATAATAATAATACCTGGGTTATATTCCAACAAAAATAATCACAGATGGTTGTTTAGCCCAAGTTTCTAAAATCAGTGTTCACTTTGCTGCTGACACAGCGCACGTCATGTCAGATTTTCAAAGTCAAAAAGAATTTGCATAACAAAGTCTTTTTGGAATTATGATTAAAACTGTGAGAATTGAATTTAGTTAAAAATACAACACCGGCCAGGCACAGTAGCTCACGCCTGTAATCCCAGCACTTTGGGAGGCCGAGGCGGGAGGATCACGAGGTCAATAGATCGAGACCATCCTGGCCAACATGGTGAAACCCCGTCTGTACTAAAAATACAAAAATTAGCTGAGCATGATGGCATACACCTGTAGTCCCAGCTACTAGGGAGACTGAGGCAGGAGAATCACTTGAACCCGGGAGGCGAAAGTTGCAGTGAGCCGAGATGGCTCCACTGCACTCCAGCCTAGCGACAGAGCGAGACTCCATCCTCCCCATCAAAAAAAGCCCACCAAATAACCAGTAACAAGAGTTCACCTTCATATTTTAGAGCATTGCACCTAAAGCAATCAGTAGCAACCTTGGAAATCTGCATGGAAAACAATATAAATGTTCTGGAATGTATGGCCACCACCACAAAAGGCACACATACTATTTTACAAGCACTAGATTTACAAGTATTGGGGGAGAAAATAAATTCAAAATGTAATTCAGACCAATCCACACACCAAGACTCAGTTTTGTGCAAATAAAACCTCTTTAGAAAGCAGCCTTTGACCTCTGTAGCACTTTTGTCTTCAGCCTCACAGTGGAGGTGAGTACAGCCTGGGCTCCTGGGAGGGATGCACTGTCCCTGAGGAGCCTCTGTCTGAAAAGGAGTAGGAGCTCTGGGCACAATGGTTAAAGATGTGGATCAAATGTACAAGAAGGATAAAGGCCATCTTGTCATTGACCAGGAACTCATCCCCCATCTTGGGCACTCTTGTCACACCTGACAACTATCTGGTTGTAGGTTATCAGTAGTGGGCTCCTACCTAGATTAGGTCCAATGGGGCCAGTAAAAGCTTCGGTTCTGACAGTCGATAGCCATGAGCAAGGGTGAAAGTAGAAAATGCAATGAGGAAAATGTATCCAAGTCTTCAAAGGTGAGGTAGGGAAAGAGAGTTTAACTGATCTATGAAAATGCAGCCAGGTAAAGGGGAAACAATTCCAACAAAGATTCTCAACACATTTCCTCCTTCATAGCCTCAAAAGAAACAATAGATTCTTTGATTGGAGGCATTCATGTGGGGTGATTCTGCCTGGATGCAGTGGTTGCTCCCCATCACTAGACTTCCAAATCTCTTCCTAAGAATCTGGTGCATGCCAGTCAGAAAAAATATTCTCATCTCCATAAAGCACCCTCTCCTGAGTGTAGTGGAGAGGTTTTATAATGTGAGGGTGAAAACTTTCAAAGTAGAAACCTGTCATTTCTTTATATTTGGACAATCATAAGCACTTTAAGACCCTTTCTGGTTTGGGTAAATCAGTGATCTGCACAAGACACGCTTTACAAAACCCAGCTTCCTGTCCTTGCTTCTGGGCCGCTCCTTCCTTCTTGAGTTCTCAGGGTTCCTCATGGTCAGTCCTGGCTGCAAAACATGAGAAACAAATGATGGCAGGAAGGCAGGAAGAACCTCATAGACAAGCAGAGTGGGAGGCTCCACAGCCCCCTCTCAGCAATTCATGTACTAAGCAACAAAACACCAGTAGGATGTAGAAGGTCCGAATAGTAAGCCATTTCCATCACTTCCATGTAGCCATCCGTCCATCATCCTTGTATATTGGGAATAAATGTTGGAGATACATTCATTTTAAGCACACATGGTACATTTACAAAAATTAACCCTACTTATTTTGTTCATCAAGCAAATCTCAATCATTTCAGAGAAATCAAATCACATAGCGTGTTTCTGATCATATAATTATGCTAGAAGTCAATGATAAAAAGCTAACCACAAATTCTCATATGCTTGGAAATTCCAACGCCCTTATAAGTAAGACAGAAACATAAGAAATAATCCAAAATGAAACAAGACTGCCTTTGCACTCAATGATAAGATCATAATACGGCAATAAAATGTCTCCATCTGGCCTGGGAATTCCACTTTGTGGCACAAGGTTGTGTGGTCTTAAATCATCCCTAATCCACCTGGACACTTTAACATCTGAACCGGGGTAATGATGTCACTTATCTATGTCATCTTACTGCCTGTGAGCATGGACTTTAAGCTTTGAACCCTAATGAGGGAAAGAAAACCAAGTTGACTCTCATGATTGACCTCCCAGGGATGTCCAAGGAATCTGTGTATTTCAAGAGACAAAGTTCATCAGCTTCTCTCCTGGAGGATTTGGCCACAATACCCAGAGGGCTTGGCAGCACCAGGAGTGATGGATGGGGAGTGTCAAGCAGGTGGGCAGGACCCAGGGGCCTGGTGACCAGGAGAGACACCCCAACTGGCCATCAGCTTTGCTGGCCTTGTCCTTAGCTAAACTTCCCAAAGGCCTTCTTCTGCCTGATGATGCAGAGTGTGCCCAAACTCACTCAGTCCTCTGGCAGCCTAAAACCACTGCTTTAAATCCCTTCAGCATTTATGATGACACAAGGTTATTGTAAACAGGAAATATTCTATCACCGTTGTAAATGGAAAGCCAATGCCTTTACCATAAATAAAAAGAAACCCTAAGAAACAAGCAAAACAAAACAAAACAGGGACAACAAAACAATGGAATTAAATTCTATTTGTGTGCTGTCACCTGCATAAAGACCCCCAGATTTGAGTTGTCTTGGTTGTAAAAGGAAAGACCAAGTAAGGGGAGTTGAAGTCAGATTAGCCTGAAAGTGAATGGGAGACCTGTGATGTCCATGAAGTGTTGTGGGGTCACCTTGATTATAGCCCAAGCAGAGAGAGGGAAAGGAAGGAGAAGCGAACAGAGTTTGGGCCCTCAGACAAGAAGTCATTCATGTAACCAGGAAACACCTCCCCAAAGCCAGAGTCAACCTCCCTTGCAGGCGGGCCCCTCATGGTCCCTTGGAGGCTTGGCCAGGGGCCCTTGGCAGGACGAGGCACCTTGGGTGACCAACTGTGCAACGCTGGGCTGGATTCCTTCTGTACAACTGGAGTGCTAATGGCTGTGTGCAAAGACTATCAGAAGACAGCAGGAAGTGGCTGAGCAGCTGTGTACCTGAGCATTGTAACCTCCCAGGGGCATCTTTCTTCCCAGAACTGGCACCTTGGGAGGTCCTTGGCCACTAAAGGCAGTGATGATGACAACAGCAGCCCCTCTTGTCGCCACTGTGCTAAGCATAGCACTTCGCAGGCATCATCTCCTGAGATCCTGAAGTACTATCACTGTTCCTTTACACAGATGGGGATGTAGGTTCAGAGTGGTTGGGGGAGGGGGTGTATCCAGGCAGAGAAACAGATCTGGGGGAGCTTGATTATCGGAGGGGACATTAGGAGAAGGGGAACCTGGGTCTGGAGACTCCCCAGGAAGATGCGGCCACAGAGATGCTTTGCCCAGGACCCAGTGTTGCCCTGGTCAGTCCTGCTCAGATGAGGTCCAACCAGGTGGCTGTGTTCCCAGCCCAGCACCTCCATCTATGAGTGAGGGTCAGTCACAGCTGTGATGATGGGGATATATCATAGCATGTTCCTCATAGCATTATTGTGACGCAGAGAGTGCCAGCCCACTCAGGCACAGGGCATGGTTCTGGGGGCACATCTGTCTTTCTCTCTTGACCTCTAGATCTCCTAAGCACCACATAACACCCCCACTCTAAGCATACCCAGACAGGGTACTGGGCGCAACCTTGTGCTCCTGTTCCCAGAGTCACCCAACCCTGGCCTCTCTCTGACATCTCTGGGCCCAGGCACAGCCCTTCTGTAGGCCCTGGAAGGGGCACATCCCCAGCCCTGGGTTTGAAACCTGGAAAATACTTTCTTCCAAGAGAGCTCAGGAGGGCCAGGTCATGCCTGGGTCTGTTCTGTCCGCTGGTCCCAGGATTGCCCTCTGGAGTGCCACCTCTGGTTGTACTGTGGGCTGGGGTCTGGGAGTGTGTGCATGTTTGGGTGCGTAAATCTGCATATATTCATCTGTGCATCTGAGTGTCTGTGTCTGTGATTATGTCTCTGTGTAGCTGTCTCAGGGTGGCTCTGTGTTTTTCTCTATCTTTGTACGCATTTGGGTGTCCTTTCTTTCTGAATGAGTGTGTGTTGGTTGTGCAAATCTGTGTTTGTGTTTCTGATTGGGTAATGTGTGTGTCTCTGGCATGTGTGCCCCCGGTGAGAGTGTCTGTGTATACCTGGCTTCTGTATCTTTGTGTATGTGTTGAGGTGTGTGCGTGTGAATTTGCTTCTCCTTTGGGTGTCCCTGATTGTGTTTGTATTTGTGTGTTTATGTTTTGTGTAGTGTGTGTGTTCTATGTCTGATTCTCTGCCTGTGGGTCTGTGCCAGTGTGTGTGTGTGTGTGTGTGTGTGTGTGTGTATGTGAGCACGTGTGCGCACACGTGGGTGTCCACTGTGTGTAGAGTCAGCCCTGTGGGGCTGTGTCTCATGGTTCTGTGTGTGTATCTGTGTCCTCCTGGTGTGTGTGTTTATGTGCCTGTCCGTGGGCCATACTCCTGAGTGCCCAGGTGAAGCTGGGGTGGTTTTGTGCCCCTGTGTCTCTGTGCTTGCGGTATCTGTTTATCTCCCTGTGAGTTTCTGGGTTTGTGCACCTCGGAAGTTGGCAGTCACAGAGAGGCCTCTCCAATGCTGACCTCCAGGAGTGGCTGAGAAGGGGACAGCATGTGCTTCTCTCATCCCCCGGCAGGGCCTTTTCTGCCCCTGCTTTTCTGAGCCTCTGGTGGCCCCCTGGTGGTCCCTCTTAGGCCCCAAGGAGGGATGGCATGAAGGGTCAGGTCACAGGACTCCAGGCCAGGGTTGTGAGGAGGACTCTGGGTCGCCGGAGAGAGTTATACTGAAAGAAGGAAGATTGTCTGTTGGGGGAGGATTCTGGGCTGGAGGGAGCCTGGGCCCTGGGAGGGTGAATGAGTGAGGTCCTCTAGGAAGGGCTCGGGGACAGAGCTCCTGGGCCACTTGGAAGGTCTGATGTGTAGGTGACTACAGGGGATAGCTAGGGGCAGGGCTAGAGGAGTGCTGGGTGCCCAGAGGCTGAGGCCCTCACTCACACATGCCAGGTTTAGGCTGGGGCACATGTGCACATGGGCACTATTGGGGGACACAAAGGACCATTGGGTGGGGGAGGCAGCGGTGGTCTGGCAGGCAAATATAGTCCCCAAGCCAAGGCTGACCACCCAGGACATCTGCCCTGCCCCGGCCTTCCTGGGGCCTCACTCCAGGGCACAGGCACGTGCCCGGTGCCACATGGGGCACACCTCCTGGACCCCTGTGTCTTGGCCATTGAAGGGTGCTTAGGGCTACCCTGAGAAACTGGTGCCAGGAGGGAGAATCTGGTCTCAACATATTTCAGGTTGTGGATTAGGGAGAACTACAGAAGGAGGGCATTTAACATAGGTTCATTCCCAGAACAAATGCTTCACACAGGGTATTGTCGAAATTAATATTTTATTACCTGGAACTCCAATCTGTGTACTCACCTGGGAAATTCTAAAGACACAGAGAGGACTTGGAGGAAGCAGAGTAACTGAATGTAACTTAAAATAACAAAAACAGTCCGGGTGCGGTGGCTCACGCCTGAAATCCCAGCATTTTGAAATGCTGAGGTGGGTGGATCACCTGAGGACAGTAGTTCAAGACCAGCCTGGCCAACACGGTGAAACTCTATTTCTACTAAAAATACAAAAATTAGCTGGGTGTGGTGGCGGGCACCTGCAGTCCCAGCTACTCAGGAGGCTGAGATGGGAGAAGGGCTTGAACCCAGGAGGCGGAGGTTGCAGTGAGCCAGGATCACGCCACTGCACTCCAGCCTGGGCAACAAGAATGAAGTTCTGTCTCAAAAAAAAAAAAAAAAAAGAAAAGAAAGAAAAAGAAAAGAAAAACATTGGAATTGTGGCCCTCCTGATGCTTTTCCAAATCAACCCTCTCAATGTCTCATCATCACCCCGCCCTAGTGGGGAGACTGAAGTGGCCAGGGATTTGCCGAAGGTGCCAGTTGGTTCCGAGTTCACTGCTGATTACATCTGACCAAGCTCCTTTTCTCAAGTTCACCTTGTTTAATCTTTCCAGTGACAGTTTTCGGCAGCTCCGGGACAAACTCCATCTGGTTAAGTATAAGGGAAATCCACAGTGACTTACCAATTCCCTACCCTCCTCCTCTGCCCCTCCACAGTCTCCCACACAGGCTGACACCATATGGTGGCCTTAATGGAATCCACCGAGTGTGTCAGGTTCTCCCCTTGACCCTTTGAAGGTGGATGTAGCCGTGTGATGTGACTCAGGACCTGTGAGTGGAAGTGAAGCGTGTCACTTCAAGACAGAAGAGTTGGGAGCCACTGAGACTGGCCACCCTCTCCTCCATCTCTTAGAGAAGCTGACAGGTGGAGGCTGCTCCTTTTATCCTGTTGGTGGATGAGGGGATGTGAAGCACAAGGCCCAGCAGAGCCATGGTGGACGTGCCGCATGAGCAGGATAAGAACCTTCAGTGTTGTAAATTTCCATTGTCTGGGGCTGTCCACTGAACCTACAGTGATATCTGGCCCATCGTAGCAGGCATGCACCATCTATTTCATGCTCTGTGAAGCAGGCTAGCCTACCCTCAGAACATGAACTTGTTGTCAGACACACATAGGTTTCAGTTTCAGCCCTGCCTCTTAATGACTGCAACCTCGGGCATTTGACTTTGAGTCTCCGAGCCTCAGTTTTGTTTTTGTAAAATGGTTTGCTATGCTATCTCAGGTGGAGGAGAGGATTTAATGAAATAAAAATCCATGTAAAGCATTGAGCCTAGGGGCTGGCACACACAGTGAGTACTCAGTCAAGGTTAGCCATGTAGCTTCATAATGTGTATTGACTGTAAATACTCAGACACTGCAGCAAAGTATTACAAAGAAGGAAGTGTTAACTTTTTGGCATATGTATCTCTTTGCACTTTATTTTCAAACGGGTAGGATAATACCACGTATACTTTTTCACAGTACGCTTTTTTCTCTTAATATGTGTTGAGATATATGTTAAATATATAAAAAACTGAATCATTATTTTAAATTGCAGGGTTATATTCAATTTTATGAAAACCTTATTTCTCTATTGTTTGACTTTTTGTAGGTTGCACAAGGCATTGAATTAAAATAAACATATCAGAATGCATTGCATTTATAAAGATAAATATCATTCTACTAATTTTTGTTTGTTATATGTATGTATATATATTTTGAGTTGCAAAACAGAACATATTTCTTCCTATGAATCATGTTAGAAAAAGTTTGAAAGCTGCTGATTTGGATTTTTTTTTTAAATTTGTACAGGACTATAAATAACCTTTTTAAAAATATCCTTGGGCACTTGACTGATTTTTGTCTTTAGGTTAACATGCCAGCAATGATTCCTTTTGCGTTTCTTACACAAGATAGCAATTTCCATCCAAATAAATCAACTATGCCATCCCATCCCTAAACCAAATTCCTTCTTCTGCAGAAGAAAAAGCCAGTACTGTGACTGCCTAAGCTTTCCCCTGCACAGCCACCCTATGAGACATGGGGCAGAAGCACTGGGAGCTATTCAGGGGCACCAGACCCCTTCCATCTGCCCTCACTCACCTTCCTTGGGGACTTGCATGAGACTGTCACTGACTTTACATGCTGCTGCAGCTCCTTGGTCAGCTGGTCCTTGTCACGGGACAGAAACTGTGGGGTCAGGACAATCAACACCTTCACGACCTGCAGAACAAGGGCAGAGGCTTATGGTGAGTGTCAATCTATTACATAGCTTAAAAAGTCAATATTGGTGGGGTGCAGTGGCTCACACCTGTAATCCCAGCACTTTGGGAGGCTGAGGTGGGCAGATCACTGGAAGTCAGGAGTTTGAGACAAGCTTGGCTAACATGGTAAAACCCGATCTCTACCAAAAATACAAAAATTGACCGGGTGTGGTGGTGCACACCTGTAGTCCCGGCTACTTGGGAGGCTGAGATGGGAGAATTGCTTGAACCCAAGAGGCAGAGGTTGCATGAGCTGAGATCGTACCATTGCACCCCATCCTGGGCTACAAGAGTGAAACTCTGTCTCAAAAAAATAAAATAAAATAACAAGAAAATATAGAGAATTTCACCAAATACCTGGACTTTATTTTTTAAGGATTAAAAAGAATATAGAATTGAGAAAATAACAGAAATTAAAAACCCAATAGATGGATTTATCAGCAAATTAGACAAAACAGAAGAGAGGATTAAAGAAGTGGAAGTTAGGTTAGTAGAAAACACTGAAATTGAAGGTTAGAGAGAGAGAGAAAAAGATGGGAAATATAGGAAAGTTAACAAGAGACGTGGAACATACCAGACAGGTCTAACTTGTGAGGAATTAGAGTCCCAGAACCAGAAAGGAAGTGGAACAGTACCTCTATTTAAAGAGAAAATGGGGTTGGGTACAGTGGTTCACACCTGTAATCCCAGCACTTTGGGAGGCCGAGGCGGGCAGATCACTTGAGGTCAGGAGTTTGAGACCAGACTGGACCAGACTGAGACCAGTTTCTACCTCCTCCATAACAGGAGGTAGAGAGCACCTCTACTAAAAATACAAAAATTATCCGGGCATGGTGGTGGGTGCCTGTAGTTCCAGCTACTCTGGAGGCTGAGGCAGGAGAATTGCTTGAACCTGGGAGGCGAAGGTTGCAGTGAGCCAAGATTGCACCACTGCACTCCAGTCTGGACGACAGTGTGAGACTCTGTCTCAAAAAACATAAATAAATAGGCCGGGCACGGTGGCTCATGCCTGTAATCCCAGCACTGTGGGAGGCCGAGGCAGGTGGATCACAAGGTCAGAAGATCGAACCCTTCCTGGCTAACACAGGGAAACCCCGTCTCTACCATAAATACAAAAAATTAGCTGGGTGTGGTGGCGGGCGCCTGTAGTCCCAGCTATTTGGGAGGCTGAGGCAGGAGAATGGCATGAACCCAGAAGGCGATGTTTGCAGTGAGCCAAGATCGCACCACTGCACTCCAGCCTGGGTGACAGAGTGAGACTCTGTCTCAACAACAACAACAACAACAACAACAACAACAACAACAACAACAACAAAAAAATAAAAATAAAAATAAAAGGAAATTTTAAAAAAGAGAAAATGTTCCCCCACAAATCTCAAAACAAATAAAAGACATTAATTCACAGACAGGAATGTCTGCAAATCCTAAGCAGGTGAATAGAAAAAAAGTCGTGATTAAATTGCTAAAAAAAAGATAAAAGGAGACATTCAAAAGAAGCCAGAGGAAAAAAAGACATATTACTTTCAAAGAAACAACAATAAGTAGGAGAAGGACTTTTCATCAGAAACTACAGAAGCCAGAAACCCACGGAATGACATTTTTCATGTTGAAATGAAAAAAATCTGCCAACATAAAATTCTACCCACTGAAATATACTTCAAAAATAAAAGCGTAGGTTTCTAGAAAATGGCAGCAATGACGATGACGTCACTTTTAAATCTCCCCTCATCATCACACACCAACGGAGTAACTAGATGACAAAACCAAAAACTCATGGACAATACAACACAACTACATGATAAAATCCTAGCAGAAACAAAACAAGACTTCCAGCAAGACTCGTCAGGAAAAAAGACATAATGTCCAATTTTGAGAACAAAAAGAAGATATCAATTAAATCCTACAGATATTAAAAATAAAAGAATATTATAAACAACTTCAAGTCAATAAACTTGACAGCTAGATGAAACTGACAAATTTCCTCAAAAGACACAAATTACAAAATCCAAATTATCCTATATCTATTAAAGAAATTAAGGCAAAGAGAATCTACAGCTAAGTTATTAGAATGGATAAGAATATTTAGGCCTGGTGCAGTAGCTCATGCCTGTAATCCCAGCACTTTGGGAGTCCGAGGTGGGAGGATTGCTTGAGCTTAGGAGTTCGAGACCAGCCTGGGCAACGTGGTGAAAGACCATCTCAAATTTTTTTTTTTTTAAAGTATGGATAAGAATATTCAGCAAGAATGTGGGATACAAAATATAAAAATCATTCGTACTTCTAGCAGCCACAAACAGAAAAGACAAATTTTAAAAAGATACCATTTATGGTTACAATAAAGGATACAAAATGCCTAAAAATAAATTTAACAAAAGATGTGTAAGTGGAAAAAATTATATATCTTTATGAAAGCTATTAAAGAGGCCAGGCATGGTGACTCACGCCTATAATCCCAGCACTTTAGGAGGCTGAGGCAGGTGGATCACCTGAGGTCAGGAATTCGAGTCCAGCGTGGCCAACTTGGGGAAACCCCGTATCTACTAAAAATACAAAAGTAGCTGGGCATGGTGGCATGTGCCTGTAATCTTAGCTACTGGGGAGGCTGAGGCAGGAGAACCTCTTAGAACCCGGAAGGCAGAGGTTGCAGTGAGCCGAGGTCGTGCCATTGCACTTTAGCCTGGGCAACAGAATGCGACTGTGTCTCAAAAACAAAACAAAAACAAAAACAACAAGAACAAGAGAAAAACATTAAAGAAGTCTTAGGCAAAAGAGACGCAGGTCATATTCTAGCTTTTATTTGAAGTTCAGGAGTACATGTGCAGGTTTGTTACATAGTTAAACTCTCGTCATGGGAGTTTGCTGCACAGATTATTTCATCACCCAGGTATTAAGCCCAGTACCCACTAGTTATTTTTTCTGCTCCTCTCCCTCTTCCCACCCTCCATCTTCCCATAGGCCCCAGAGTCTGTTGTTCCCCTCTATGCATCCATGTGTGCTCATTATTTGTCTCTCACTTATACATGAGAACATGTAGTGTTTGGTTTTCTGTTCCTGCATTAGTTTGAAAAGGATAGGGCCATATTTATAGATTGGGATATTCAGTCTTTTGAAGATGTCAGTCTCCCAACTGATTTATAGCTACAACATGTACTATAATTCAAACAAATCCTAACAGCTTTTTTTTTTTTTTTTTTGATACGGAGTCTTGCTCTGTGGCCCAGGATATAATGCAAAGGTGTGATCTCAGCTCACTGCAATCTCCGCCTCCCAGGTTCAAGTGATTCTCCTGTCTCCTGCCTCAGTCTCCCTAGTAGCTGGCAGTACAGGCTTACGCCACCACACCCAGCTAATTTTCGCATTTTTAGTAGAGACAGGATTTCCCCATTTTGGCCAGGCTGGTCTCAAACTCCTGACCTCAGGTGATCCATCCGCCTCAGCCTCCCAAAGTGCTGGGATTACAGGAGTGAGCCTGTAATGAAATTTGATAATCTATTTTAAATCTTATTTGAAAAAGCCAAAAGCCAAGATACTCTTGAAGAATAAGATGAGGAAGTTACTTTAGCAGACATCTAGCAGATAACTAGGAAGCTACAGTAATTAAGGCAGACTGGTTTACACAATTACACCGTGATAGACAAGTTAAATAATGACACAAAATAAAGAGGCCAGAAACCAACGCTCCTTTACATAGAAATTGGATTCATGACTGAATTGTAATTGCAGATCTGTGAAGAAATGATGGGCTCTTCAATAAGTAGTTCCAGGAAAAATTGTTATCATTATGGGGGAAAAGAGAAACCAGAGCTCTACCTCATACCATAGAAAAAATTTGATTTGGAATACTTAAATGTGAAAAATTAAACTGTAAAAATTTTAGAAGAAAATATCAATTATGAGAATGATTTTTTTTTTTTGAGACAGAATCTCCCTCCGTCACCCAGGCTGGGGTGCAGTGGTGTGATCTTGGCTCACTGCAACCTCTGCCTCCTGGATTCAAGTGATTCTCCTGCCTAGGCCTCCCAAGTAGCTGGGATTACAGGCACCCACCACCATACCTGGCCAATTTTTGTATTTTTAGTGGAGATGGGGTTTCACCATGTTGGCCAGGCTGGTCTTGAACTCCTGACCTCAAGTGATACACCCAGCTCAGCCTCCCAAAGTGCTGGGATTACAGGCATGAGCCACTGCGCCCAGCCTTCCAAGAATGATTTTTTTAAGCTCAGAAGGTGAAATAAATACAGAAAAATGCTGATGAATACAACTACTATGTTTGTTTGCCAGTGCTACACAACCAATCCTCAAATTTAGCAGCTTAAAGCCAACTGTTAGCTTGTGGATCTGTAGGCCAGAGGCCCAGGCGTGGTGTGGCTGAGCTTTCCACTTGGGGTCTTGCCAGCTTCAATCAAGGTGCCAGCAGGGCTGTGTTCTCACCTGGAGCCCTGAGTCCTCTTTCACGCTCACATGCTTGTGACAGGTTCATCTCCCTAAAGTTGTAGGATGGAGGTCTCGGGGTCCTTGTCTAGGTCCTTGTCGGCTATCAGGCAGGACCTGCTCTTAGTTCCTGGAGGGCATCTGCACGTAGCCTCCTCCATCTTCAAAGTCAGCCTTGGCCAGGCACAGTGACTCACTCACTGCCTGTAATCCCAGCACTTTGGGAGGCCAAGGCCTGTGGATCACTTGAGGTCAGGAGTTTGAGACCAGCCTAGCCAACATGGCGAAACTCTGTCTCTACAAAAAAATACAAAAATTAGCTGGGAGTGGTGGTACGTGCCTATAGTCCCAGCTATGCAGGAGGCTGAGGCACGAGAATCACTTGAACCTGGGAGGCAGAGGTTGCAGTGAGTGGAGATTGCACCAGTGCACTCCAGCCTGGGCCACAGAGTGAGACCCTGTCTTAAAAACAAACAAACAAACAAACAAACAACTAAAAACACCAGCCAGATTTGCTTGCCAAGTTTTTCCTGCAATTTGACACTCTCTGAAGTTTTCTGTCTCTGGTCCCTAGACCCCAGATTGAAGGGATCATGTGATGAGGTTGGGCCCACCTAGATAATCTCCCTCTTGATTAACTCATATGCAACCAATTAGTAATCCTAGTTACACCTGCAAAATTTCTTTTGCCATATATGCAGCATGATCACAGAAGTGACATCCTGCTATATTCACAGGTTCTGTCCACTCTTCAGGGGGGCATCTTAAAAGGGTGAGGGTCGTGAGAATTCTGCCTACCACAGTTATATTATAATTAAAAACTTCTATTCTTCAAATGACACTATAAGAAGGTAAAAGGGCAAGCTACAGAATGGGATGTAAGATTTACAATACACATAATTGATAAGGGAGTTGTTTCTAGGATATATATTTAATTAATTTATTTAGAGATGATGTCTCACTCTGTCACCCGTGCTGGACTGTAGTAGTGCAATCGTAGCTCACTGTGGTTTTGACCTCCTAGGCTCAAGTGATCCTCCAACCTCCGCCTCCCAAGTAGCGGGGACTACAGGCACATGACACACGCTCAGCTAATTTTTCTATTTTTTGTAGAGACGTGGGTCCCACTATGTTGCCCAGGCTAGTCTCGGACTCCTGGGTTCAAATGATCCTCTCGCCTCAGCCTCCCAAAGTGCTGGGATTACAGGTATGAGCCACTGCGTCTGGCAAAGAATATATATTTTAAATCTTACATATTAATAAGAAAAAAGATAATAGAAAAAGAGACAAATGAAATAAACATATTTTCACAAAAAAAACTCAAAATATCAACACTTGTATGAATACATGTGTATTTTTTTCTTTATTTTACTTATTTATTTTTTTGAGATGGAGTCTTGCTCTGTGGCCCAGGCTGGAGAGTGCAGTGGCGTGATCTCGACTCACTGCAATCTCCGCTTCCTGGGTTCAAGTGACTCTCTTGCCTCAGCCTCCCGAGTAGCTGAGATTACAGGTGTATGCTACCACACTAAGCTAATTTTTGTATTTTTAGTAGAGACAGGGTTTCACTATGTTGGCCAGGCTGGTCTCAAACTCCTGAACTCATGTGATCCGCCCATCTTAGCATCCCAAAGTGTTGGGATTACAGGCGTGAACCACCGCACCCGGCCATGTGTATTTTTAATTGTGGAAAAATTTGGTGTCCAGTGCTTAGTCTTCCCTGCTCTGGGAGGCCCAGGTGACTCTGCCACAGCCTGTGTTACTCTGTGACCTGCAGGTACTGGGAGATCCACAGGGAAGACACTGGGACATCCTAGAAGCTGGGAAATGAAAAGAAGAGTGAAGAATGCAACCACACATGGATGGATGGTCTTTTCCATAACATAATGCCTGCCTCTCAGGCTCCAATTCCAAAGCGAATCATTTACAGTTAATTTCTGTCTCCTGGGTTGATCATTCTCCCTAACCATCACTTGCTGCCCCTCAAAAGAATTGTCTACATTCCCTATCTCCTCCTTACCCTGTGAAAAATGGTATGTCAGCTTCTATACCCCATTGGGAGGCTGGGAAATCACTGACTCTCCCCTGCCCCATACATTAATTCATCTGTATTAAAAATAAGTGAAAACTCAGTAAGACACCATTTTACCCCACTGTATTAGCAAACCTTTAAAAATCTGACAATTTCAAGCCTTTCCAGTGAATCATAGTGTTACTGGTGGCAAATCCCTAGGGGGCTGCAGCAACCTCAATTCTTGCCTCCTCAGCAGAAAGAATTTGACCAACAGCATAATACGGCAGAATGAGAGACCAAGGCAAGTTTTAGAGCAGAAGTGAAAGTTTATTAAAAAACTAGGCCAGGCTCGGTGGCACATGCCTGTAATCCTAGCACTTTGGGAGGCCGAGGCGAGCAGATCACATAAGTCAGGAGTTTGAGACCAGTCTGGCCAACATGGTGAAACCCCATCTCAACTAAAAATACAAAAAAAAAAAAAATTAGCTGGGCATGGTGGCAGGTACCTGTAATCCCAGCTGCTCATGAGGCTGAGGCAGGAGAATCACTTGAACACGGGAGGCAGAGTTCGCAGTGAGCTGAGATTGCACCGCTGCACTCCAGCCTGGGCAACAGAGCAAGACTCCCTCTCAAAACAACAACAACAACAACAACAACAACAACAAACTTTAGAGCAGGACTAAGAGGAAGTAAAGTACACTTGGAAAAGGGCCAGGGGGCGACTTGAGAGATCAAGTGCACTGTTTGACCTTTGACTTGGGGTTTTATCTGTTGACATAGTTCCAGGGTTGTACATCCCTTCTCCCCTGATTCTTCCCTGGGAGTGGGCTGTCCACGTGTGCAGTGGTCTGTCCACGTGTGCAGTGGTCTGCTAGCAGTTGGGCGGTGAGCACGCAGTGTGTTTACTGGAGTTGTGTGCATGCTCACTTGAGGCATTCTTCCCCTACCAGGTGAATGTCCCTAGAAGTTAAACTCCACCATTTTGCCTCTTAGTGTGCATGCTTGAGCCCACTCACCCAACTCCTGAGATCTTATCGGGAAGCTGCTGATCACCAGTTTCAAGTTTGTTCTATCTATTAGGAGACGGCCTTTCCCTGGTGCAGGCTGCGACCCATTATTAGAGACAGTTTAACAATTGCCTGATGGTTGGTGACATTACTGGTGGGGGGGTGGGGGTCGAGCCCTCTCCTGCCCTGCTCATGCCTGACTAGCTACCTGTAACAATAGGAACTCACATACTTTTGACACGAGTTTAAATTAGTGCAACCTCTTTGGATAACAAATCGTGATGATCTATAAAGTTGGAAATGTACACCCTCTACAATCCAAGAGTTTCATCCCTGGGTATGTAATTGACAGAAATGCATGCATGGCTGGTTATAGTGGCTTATGCCTGTAATCTCAGAACTTTAGGAGGCTGAGGCGGGAGGATTGCTTGATCCCAGGAGTTCAAAACCAGCCTGGGCAACGTGGCAAAATCTCGCCTCTACAAAAAGATACGAAAATTAGTCAGGCATGGTGGTACATGCTTGCAGTCTCAGCTACTCAGGAGGCTGAGAGGGGAGGAGCGATTGAACCCAGAAGGTCAAAGCTGCAAGGAGCTGTGATCATGCCACTGCACCCCTGCCTGGGTGACAGTCTCAGGGTCTTTTGAGACAGACTCTGTCTCAAAAACAAAAAAGAAAGAGGAAGAAGAAGAAGGAGAAGGAGAAGGAGAAGGAGAAGGAGAAGAAGAAGAAAAGAAGAAAAGAAGAAGAAGAAGAAGAAGAAGGAGAAGGAGAAGGAGAAGGAGAAGGAGAAGGAGAAGAAAAGAAAAGAAGAAGAAGAAGAAGAAGAAGAAGAAGAAGAAGAAGAAGAAGAAGAAGAAGAAAAAATGTATGCATATGGATGTCCAAGCCAGAAAAACAAATAAACCTGGAGACAATGGGAAATAATTTAAATGTCCATCAACAGTAGAATGTTGTAAACAAAATATACAATAATGTGTAAATAAATTATAGAATACTTTAAAGGTAATTACATGGTTCCATTTCTTAAAGTTGGTGGATCCTACAACACAGGTGTTTGTTTCATTCTTCCTTCAAGAAGTCTTTCCAACTCCTCTGTCCCTTCCCTTGACCAGAAGTCACAGGTGGACAGGCGCTTAAAGATCAGGAACTTACCCTTCGGCTTCACAAACAAGGGGACGAGGGAAGGAGACACATGTCAGGACTTCCCTTGAAACCCTCCTCTTTGTCTGCATAGGATGCCCTCCTCTTTTCCTTCTCAGTAACTGTCTGTCAACATCCTCTTCATCTTTTAAGGCCCTTCCTTGGGATCCTTAGAGGGCACCCTGGTCCATCTACCTGTTGAGAAAACTGAAGTTCAGAGAGGTTGAAGGGTGAACCTAAGGCATGTAGTCATTGAGAGGCAGCCTTGGCTCTCTGGAATCTGTGCTCTCTTTATCAGCAATATCCGGTGCTAATTTATGTCTGTACCCATGGCACACTTGAAGACAGTTCCTTATAAACAGGAGGTGCTCAGTAAATGCCACCTCCTCCCTCTGGGTCTTTACTGAATTTAAACAAGAGCTTCCAGTGAAATAAAAGAGGATACAAACAAATGGAAGAACATTCCATGCTCATGGGTAGGAAGAATCAATATCGTGAAAATGGCCATACTGCCCAAGGTAATTTATAGATTCAATGCGATCCCCATCAAGCTACCAATGACTTTCTTCACAGAATTGGAAAAAACTACTTTAAAGTTCATATGGAACCAAAAAAGAGCCTGCATCGCCAGGTCAATCCTAAGCCAAAAGAACAAAGCTGGAAGTGTCATGCCACCTGACTTCAAACTATACTACAAGGCTACAGTAAGCAAAACAGCATGGTACTGGTACCAAAATAGAGATATAGATCAATGGAACAGAACAGAGCCCTCAGAAATAATGCCACATATCTAAAACTATCTGATCTTTGACAAACCTGAGAAAAACAAGCAATGGGGAAAGGATTCCCTATTTAATAAATGGTGCTGGGAAAACTGGCTAGCCATATGTAGAAAGCTGAAACTGGATCCCTTCCTTAGACCTTATACAAAAATTAATTCAAGATGGATTAAAGACTTAAACGTTAGACCTAAAACCATAAAAACCCTAGAAGAAAACCTAGGCATTACCATTCAGGACATAGGCATGGGCAAGGACTTCATGTCTAAAACACCAAAAGCAATGGCAACAA
Organism: Homo sapiens; assembly: GCF_000001405.40. Taxonomy (NCBI): domain Eukaryota; kingdom Metazoa; phylum Chordata; class Mammalia; order Primates; family Hominidae; genus Homo; species Homo sapiens. The sequence goes on along the minus strand of NC_000010.11, from coordinate 80,223,956 downwards.
AAGCCAAAATTGACAAATGGGATCTTATTAAACTAAAGAGCTTCTGCACAGCAAAAGAAACTACCATCAGAGTGAACAGACAACCTACAAAATGGGAGAAAATTTTCGCAACCTACTCATCTGACAAAGGGCTAATATCCAGAATCTACAATGAATTCAAACAAATTTACAAGAAAAAAACAAACAACCCCATCAAAAAGTGGGCGAAGGATATGAACAGACACTTCTCAAAAGAAGACATTTATGCAGGCAAAAAACACATGAAAAAATGCTCATCATCACTGGCCATCAGAGAAATGCAAATCAAAACCGCAATGAGATACCATCTCACACCAGTTAGAATGGCGATCATTAAAAAGTCAGGAAACAACAGGTGCTGGAGAGGATGTGGAGAAATAGGAACACTTTTACACTGTTGGTGGGACTGTAAACTAGTTCAACCATTGTGGAAGTCAGTGTGGCGATTCCTCAGGGATCTAGAACTAGAAATACCATTTGACCCAGCCATCCCATTACTGGGTATATACCCAAAGGACTATAAATCATGCTGCTATAAAGACACATGCACACGTATGTTTATTGCGGCATTATTCACAATAGCAAAGACTTGGAACCAACCCGAATGTCCAACAATGACAGACTGGATTAAGAAAATGTGGCACATATACACCATGGAATACTATGCAGCCATAAAAAATGATGAGTTCATGTCCTTTGTAGGGACATGGATGAAATTGGAAATCATCATTCTTAGTAAACTATCGCAAGGACAAAAAACAAAACACCGCATGTTCTCACTCATAGGTGGGAATTGAACAATGAGAACACATGGACACAGAAAGGGGAACATCACACTCTGGGGACTGTTGTGGGGTGGGGGGAGGGAGGAGGGATAGCATTAGGAGATATACCTAATGCTAAATGACGAGTTAATGGGTGCAGCACACCAACATGGCACATGTATACATATGTAACTAACCTGCACAATGTGCACATGTACCCTAAAACTTAAAGTATAATAATAATAATAAAATAAAATATAATAAAAAATAAACAAGAGCTTTATAAAACTGTTTACTTTGATGCTGCTAACGTAGAAAATGACCGGCAGGTGGCAGCATTTAGCTTTCCTAGCTCTCAACTTTGCAATTGCCGGTTTAAGGCGAGAAAAGTTGGTTTTTCTTTTCCATTCTCCGAACTCTGCTTGTTGTCAATGCCTGCCAAATGCCCACTGCTCCCATTGGAAGCCTCATCCTACTACCCCCTTGCTGAAAAAGCATCTTGAGCATCTGCAGAAGCTCCAGTTTGAGACCTGGTGGCAGGAGGGGGTACATGGACATGCAATGAGAATATGAACGCTTTTTTTTTTTTTTTTTTTGAGATGGAGTCTCACTCTGTCACCCAGGCTGGAGTAGACTGGCGCAATCTCAGCTCACTGCAACCTCTGCCTCGTGAGTTCAAGCGATTCTTCTGCCTCAGCCTCCTGCTTAGCTGAGATTACAGGCGCCCGCCACCATGCCTGGCTAATTTTTGTATTTTTAGTACAGATGAGGTTTTACCATGTTGGCCAGGCTGGTCTTGAACTCCTGACGCTCAGGTGATCCGCCCACCTTGGCCTCCCAAAGTGCTGGGATTACAGGCGTGAGCCACCGCGACTGGCCAAACATGAAAGCTTTTCCTCTCCACAGAGCCCAGTGAAATGCTGATTCTCACCACAGCCCTGGGATACCATGGGCTGCAAAGCCATCTTAGGGCTCTGCTTTTCAGCTGGGGAAACAGACTCCAAAAGGCAAAGCGATGAGCTCAAATTCACAACAAGTTCAGATTTTCTGATTTGCAACTCTGTGCACTTTCCTGCGTTAGTTCTCTAAGGTGAAATCTACCCTGAAGGCATGTTCTGCCTATATGTGTGGAAAGGAGGCCAGAAAGATTTTTAAAAACCAAAATGCTACATGGTAAATAATAAAGGAACAGCAGAGAAAAGAGTGTTGGGGCTCAGAGGAGCAGACTGCACCATTCAGGGCTGGGGTGGGTGAGAAATTACGGAGTCAGAACTGAGCTGTTGAAAACAGGGGAGCTCTCACCCTTAAAAACAGTCAAGACATGCACAAGAAAAGGAGCAATGGTGGAAATTCTAGATCAGGATGGCAAACGTATGGCTTGGGGCTGCTACTCTCTTTCACCCTACCCTGTCACCCGGCCCGCACGTGCATGACAGACATCAGTAATCAATCATGGGATTCTTTCCCCTTGAGCTCAGGGCCTGACCAGAATCCACTGTGCACAGTGCGCCAGGTTTCCTCTACCAACTCGTAGGAGATGTCACCAGAGGAAGCCTGTTGCTCCTCCTCACCCTGCCCTATTGCCTCCCTCATGGCCACATTTATTGTGCACTTACTGTGTTGGAGGAGTTGTGCTGAGCTCTTTACACACACCTTCCATTTAATTCACTTACCATATTCTTGGGAGTTAGGCATCCTTCTGGTTTTACACATAAGGAAAATGGGGTGTTAAAAGCCTCATAATGCAGAGCCAGGATTCAAATCCAAGCCCACCTGTCTCCAAAGCCCAGCCTGGGAAACTGCTAGATAGGTGGGATAAGCCAGTATGGAAGCAGGCCTGTGGTTTGGGCCTTGTTTAGGCCTGAAGATCAAGACTAACTAGGCTGCAGTGGAGCCTGAGGTCCAGAGAACAGAGGACACTAAAGATGCTTTTGTTTGTTCATTCATTCCTCAACCCACGTTTATTAAGTCCCTGCTACATGCCAGACACCTTGTAGATCCTGGGGGTATAGTGGTCAAACAAGAGAGACAGAACACCCCACCCTCAATCAGGGGAGACTAAGAAATAAGTCAGTCAAATGCATTGTATGTCAGGTGATGTATGTGCTAAGGGGAAAAATGAAGGCTAGAGAGTGGTGGAGAGAGCCACATAGAGCTATATGTGGACTCAGGCCTAGGAGATAAGGGAAGGGATGACTTAGGGGCCTGAGCTTCTTGGAGTGACTGATGCATATCGAGATAAAGGCCCTAAGAAGACGGGTCCTGATGCTCTCAGGGAAAATAACGATGTTGGGGGGTGTCTATGGTGGGGGAGGAAGGAGGGATTGCCAGGAACACATGGAGTTCCAGGGGCCTTCTTCACTCTGACAATGACAATGTGGCCGAGGGAGGGGGAGTCTTACCCTGAATACTCCTAGCTCCTGGACTCTCTCCTTACTCTGGCAGATGTGGGATGGAGGCAGAAAGTCCCACTCATGTGTCATACATTTTTTGAGAATCTAACGAAATAAATTTCGCCAGGTGCAGTGACTCAAGCCTGTAATCCCAGCACTTTGCGAGGCCGAGGCAGGTGGGTCACCTGAGGTCAGGAGTTTGAGACTAGCCTGGCCAACATGGTGAAACCCCATCTCTACTAAAAATACAAAAATTAGCTGGGCATGGCCTGTAGTCCTAGCTACTCGGGAGCCTGAGGCAGGAGAATTGCTTGACTCTGGGAGGCGGGGGTTTCAGTGAGCCAAGATCACTCCACTGCACTCCAGCCTGGGCAACAGAGTGAGACTCTGTTTCAAAATACAATACAATATAATACAATACAATACAATACAATACAGTACAGTACAGTACAGTACAGTACAGTACAGTACAATAAAAACATGACATGTTAAAAAAAAAAAAAAAAGACCGGGCTTGGTGGCTCCTGCCTGTAATCCCAGCACTTTGGGAGGCCGAGGCGGGTGGGTCACCTGAGGTCAGGAGTTCAAGACCAGCCTGACCTACATGGTGAAACTTCATCTCTACTAAAAATACAAAAATTAGCTGGGTGTGGTGGCAGGAGCCTGCAATCCGAGCTACTCAGGAGGCTGAGGTAGGAGAATTGCTTGAACCCAGGAGGCGGAGGTTGCAGTGAGCTGAGATGGTGCCACTGTACTTCAGCCTGGGCGACAAGAGCAAAACTCCATCTCAAAAATAAATAAGAAAAATAAATAAATAAATTTCATTCCTCTGCCCACTGCCAGTATCCAGCCCCGCTGATGAGGCTGGGGTGAGGTGGGGGGTAACTTTTTAGCACCTGGGCCCTTACGTCCAGCAGGGCTGTGAACAGGGACTTTTTGTGCCAGTAACAGTAGAAAATACGGCAACTGGTGTTTGCCACTATCAAAGAGGAACTTGGAGTTTTGTTGAAGGAGCAAAATTGTAACCACCCAAGGGGTTCACCTTGCCTGCTGCCTCGACAGAGCCGATTGATCAAGACAGGGGAATTGCAATAGAAGAAGAGTAATTCACGCAGAGCCGGCTGTGCGGGAGACTGGAGTTTTATTATCACTCAAATCAGTCTCCTCGAGAATTCGGGGAGCAGAATTTTTAAGCATAACTTGGTAGGGGGAAGCCAGTGAGCCAGGAGTGCTGGTTGGTCAGGGATGAACTCACAGGGAGTCGAAGCTGTCTTCTTGCGCTTCGTCAGTTCCCGGGTGGGGGCCACAAGATCAGACGAGGCAGTTTATCCATCTGTGTGGCGTCAGCTGATCCAGCAAGTGCGGGGTCTGCAACATGTCTCAAGCACTGATCTTAGAAGCAGTTTAGGGAGGGTCAGAATCTTGTAGCCTCCAGCTGCGTGACTCCTAAACCGTAATTTCTAATCCTGTGGCTAATGTTAGTCTAGTCCCCAGACAAGAAGGAGGTCTGCATTGGGAAAGGGCTGTCACAGTCTTTGTTTAAACTATAACTACAAACTAAGTTTCTCCCAAAGTTAGTTCAGCCTACGCCCAGGAATGAACAAAGACAGCTTGGAGGTTAGAAACAAGATGGAGCTGGTTAAGTTAGCTCTCTTTCACTGTTTCAGTCACAATTTTGCAAAGGTGGTTTCAAAATGACTATCCATGAGTTTGTAAAATAACCCAGGATGCCTGTTGTTCACAGCACATAGCCTGCTGTGTGTCTAAGCTGATAATCAGCTAGACTCTGGGGAGAGAAAAATGCCAAAAGAAAATGGCCTTGCCCTGCTAGAGAGTCTTCAGGTCTCCCTTTGGATGCATGAGCAATATGGAAGGGAATGGAGAAGGAGGACAAAGAAAAGTCACCCTCCATAATTGGGACAGGGTTTGGAACTCTTGCGGCCAATTCTTTCATGCTGCCTGGCCCCACCTGCCCCGGAGACTTCTGGTGCTTAACGGAGGCTTTCTTCTGGCTGTCCTGGAACTATGAATGGGCCTGCCTTGGATAATTTTCCCTCCAGGCGCTCTCTGCCTGGGGTCTGTGAACACCCTCGAAGTAGTATCCACCATGAATTGTATGAATAATTACACATATGTGCACACTCATGAATACATGGACCCATGCATATGTGTTCACAGCGTTCTTCAAATATCCCCATGATATCTATGCCAGTTACAACTTATTACTTCTCAGCTCCATATTCACCCACTAATACCTGCTCTGTGATAATGGACAGGATTCCCATGAGCATTTCTCCTGTACACTAAGCATAACATGAAGCTTTCTCCGTGGAGGGTGCTGAGAGAACAGTGCAGGTGAAAGGAGCTTCTCTTCCTGGGTCTGGCTGGTGTGAGGAGATCCAGTGGTACTCTGCTCCAGTCACGTGCCCAGAAGATCCCAGGCAACTAGTCTTGTCCTGGCATGGTGATCGCCCTCTTAGTATCCTCCCAACACAGGCACCACGCGATCCATGCCTTCTGTCCGCACTGGAGACCCAATCATTCTACATGCTCATACACTCAACCCAGCAGTGTGGCTCGCATGGGCTGTGGAGGTTTGTTTCCTGCTTGTCCAATAATTGCAACCAGCTCTAGACTATGCAACTCAGCAAATCTCTCTGCTATGTAGGGGGCTGCAATGATACCTTCTCCAACAATGTCTGATCTCCAGCCTGGGGAGGGGGCCCCATTCCAAGCTTGTCCTTCTTGGGTACTCTTCTCCACCTGTAGGGAGAGTAGCCCTATAAGGTTCTCTTTGCATCATATAGTTGCTCTTTTATCATAGCTGAATAATTCTTTATATTAAACTTCCATTGCATGAACCACTTGTGGTTTCTATCCCTTGATTGGAACCAGTCTGATACAGTACTTGTGGCCCCCAAAATATTGAGATCCACCATACCTAGTCCCAGGTAAAACAAAAATATAAAAACTCTCAGGTCATTGCCTAGAACATAGAACACAATCCATTTAAGTAGCTGTTACTACCATGTGTTGGAGATGGAGGTCAGTTGCTGCATAGGGTTGGCAGCTCTGCAGAATCACCTTAGACATTCCCTCTTGCCTGTTTAGCTTGAGCTGCATTCTCTCTGGTATAGCAGTAAAATAACAAGTGGCTAAAGCTATCACTTATGGAGCACACACTTCATCTCAAGCAGTGGACCATGAGTTTTGTATGCACTATTTGCCCCATTTTGCAGTTGGAAAAGGTGAGGATTAATGAAGTTGGAAACTTGCCCAAGTTTTCACAGTTGATCCTGGAAGAGATGGAATTTGAACCCAGGTGTATTCAATTCCAAAAACCAAAGTCTTCACCACCACAATATATTTATTTGTAGCATTTATTGCTGGGTTAAGCTCTGTTCTAAATGGTTCACAGTGGTTATGTAATGTGTTTCCTGCCACAGCAGTGTTTGTAAGCAGTGTTTTATTCTTGTTTTATAGATAAAGAGACTAAATGTCTCAACCAAGGCCTCTCAGTTAGTGAGAGATGGAGGCAGGATTTGAAACTGGCCCCCTGACTCCAGAGCCCACACTGCTAATGTCTAGTATACTGCTTCCCTGGCTGACATAATAGAAGTGAACTTTGGGGTGTGAATGTACCTACCCCTGGGGACTGTGATGGCTGAAACAATGGAAAGCACATGGCATTTGACTCACATGCAGTTCCTGCTGCTCCCAACAATGCCATCCATGTGTGTTAGTAAAGGATAGAGAGCTGGAGAGAAGGGTATAGGTATAGGACCAGGTGTGCCATGTCATCACCCTAACGTACCTAACCCTAACCCCAACCCTAACCCTCAGAGGCAGTGATGGCCTACAGGCACCTGCATTAGGGTGGTTTGGAGGATCCATGTTCATTGCAAACCCTCCCCTAGGGAGGGGGTTCCCTGACACTCAACATCTGGATCTGCCCATGGCAGATCGAGCCACTACGGTGTCTTGCCTATACCCCAGGCTCTGATTCTACCTCACCAACTGTGATTAGTCCTCTTTGTGTGGCCTCATGGTTGTTCACTGATTTGGCTCTAAGACCCTAGCTGCTGATGGGGAGAGGGATATATGACACATTATGAGATCCAGAATATTTGCAGGTTGCTAGGAAAAAGCACAACTATTCCAGATACTGAGGACCAAAGAGCATATTCTCCTCTAGGTGTTCATAGAGAGGCTTCATAGAGAAGCCACATCCTCAACAATATCCCTGCAACAGTTGGGGATCAGTGTTCAAAACCATGCTTTGTATAATGTGTATCATGTCCCTCAACCAAAGCACAAAGCATTAAAAGTCATTCTTCAAGGAGTCAGTGGGAAGCAGTCAAGCTCACAGGTTCATGGCTCTGGCTAAATTGGTAATAGATTTAAGAATATTTGTCCAGAGGATTGAATACAGCATGCACTCTCCAGGCACTTATCCACGAGTAGCATTTCTCTTAGCCAAGCTTTTGAAAAGTATAGTGTGGCTCTGAGGTTGAGATTCTACTTGGAATGCTGGAACTTTCCATTGCCAATTAAGAGACGAGCCATATACCTTAATAACAAACTGAGCTGTGGCTTGACATAGATCCTCGTATGAAAACTCATGCACCAGAAAGAACATTCCTCTCTTTCCCTGCTGCCGCCAAGCGCCAAGCCCACCTTTGTGTGCTTGCATCCAACTGTGATAAGCCTATGTATGTCAAGTTGGTGAAGGCCCATTGTGCTGAACACCAAATCAACCTAATCAAGGGTGACGACGACAAGAAACTAGGGGAATGGGAAGGCCCCTGTACAATTGACAGAGAGGGGAAACCCTGTAAAGTGGTTGGTTGCAGTTGTGCAGTAGTTAAGGACTATGGAAGGAGTCTCAGGCCAAGGATGTCATCGAACAGTACTTCAAATGCAAGAAATGAAGAAATAAATCTTTGCCTCACACATGGAAAGAAAAGAAAAAAGAAAAAGACAGAGAGAGAAAGAAGGAGAGAAAGAAAGAAAGAAAGAAAGAAAGAAAGAAAGAAAGAAAGAAAGAAAGAAAGAGAAAGAAAGAGGAAAGTCAACGTGTTTCTGAAGAGAAGGCCAACCCACATCCCCTCCAAAGTGCATCAGGGGAGTCCCTGCAGGCAGAGCCAAGATTCTCTTCAGGAGGAAATTTGAGAGTTCCCTAACAGGGCAATGAATGGGTAACTGATTCCCTACAATTCCACATCATAAAATGCAATGGCAATAAAAATAGCCCAGGAAAAATGTAAAGCAGGCATGTAACTATATATCTTGTTTGGCTACACATACACATAGGCATGTGCACACACACACATACCTGCGGTCCATCTAATTTTGAGCAATAAGCCCTGTTAAAACTGGTTGTGAAGTGTGCACCCAAAGTAACTAAATGATTTATTGTTTATCATTATTTCCTATAAATCTCCCTAAATTTGGGGTATTTCCATTAAAATGATTATTTCAGATCCAGATTTGGTAGCCCTTGTTTCTGGAGGTCATTAGATAGCAGTATTCATTGTCTACTAAAACTACTCCTAGTCCATGATACCCACATCAGGTTATTTGCATCTGAGAGAATGCCTGACCTTCTGTGTTCCACTGCAGAGCAGGGTGGCGGGGCCCTACCGTATACAACAACCTGCAGGCACAGATACTGATCCTTTGTAGCTGACACTGGTCAATAGCCTGCACTGTGCCTAACAGTTATGTGGGTCAGTAGGAAAGCAAACTAATGGGATATCTCAATATGGTTTCAAGTTAAAAATAAAAGGATCCAGGACACATCTTTGTTTTACCCACTGGAAATTACAAGCAGGATAGTTCATATTTTTCCTTATATATTGTGTCAAAGGCTGGAAGAGGATCAAGAAAAGTCACAAGCCATTTAATATGATTTTTGGCAGGTGTTGTCACAAGATTATATAAATTACAGCAGATGACTGTGTTCTCAGCCTGTGAGCTGTGAATATAGGTCAGGCTTGCAAATTATTAAGCAAAGCCATGCAAATGGACGTTGCTTGCACATGCTAGAATAGGACGACTAACTCGTTCTGGTTTGGCAGAGATTTTTCTTATTTTAGTACTTGTCTTAGTCCATTAAGTGTTGCTATAGAAGAATACCTGAGGCTGGGGAATTTATAAAGAAAAGAGGTTTATTTGGCTCACAGTTCTGCAGGCTGGGAAGTTCAAAAAGTATGGTGTCAGCATCTGCTCAGATTCTGGTGGAGGCTTTTTCTGCTATGTCATAACATGGTGGAAAATCTCAATGGTGAGTGGACACGTGGGAAGAGACAAAACCTGAGGGGCATCCTGGCTTTACAACAACCCATTCCTGCAGGAACATTCCCACGAGAACTAAATCCACTCTCATGAGAGAGCTGGAGTGCACCAAGTCATTTATGAGGGATCTGTCTCTGTGACCCAAACACCTCCCACCAGGCACATCTCCCAACAATGCCACATTGGGGATCAAAGTTCAACATGAGTTTTGGTGGGGACAAACTCAAACCATAGTAGTACTGACTGTCCCATGTCCTGTGAAACCCCTCGGTCCCTGGCAAGCCAGGAAGGTTGGTCACCCTTGCTGGAGGCCTTCCTCCCAGGTGGTGACCCCTAGCTGTGTATTCACATTTGGGGGTGAGGCACAAAACACTGACTGCAGTCTCTGTGGGGGAGCGGGGCTTTTTGACTGACGGAGCTCACCACAGAGTGTCTGAGCATCAGGTCAGCTCCTCATTGAGGAAACCAGCACACATCAGCCACTTGGAGGCCCTTTGTGTGGGACATTCCTTTTCTCCACAAATGAATCCTCCGGACTCTGGCCTATAGATTGTAAATTAGGTTACTCACTCTCTGTGGACTGGGGTCCCATCATTCAATATGTAGATTGTGGCTTAATCCTTGTGTTTAAACTTGTCCTTACCTCCTCCTCCCAAACCTGTGTGGCTCAGACCTCCCATTCTACAGTTTCTTCAGTTCAATTTATATGACAAATAACTCTCCTTTCTCCCCTGGGTGGAGGGGACCCCTGGCTGAAGAGGGTAGAGAAAGTGGCCTAGGGTTTCCACTTATGCCTCTGTTTTCCTGTTTACAGCCTCACACTGTACCTCACCTCTTTAAGTGTGGATCCTTTCTTAGACTCTGGGGGTGAAGTAGCGAGAATCTATTGGCTTCTTCTTATTTTCTCCCTCTGGGGCATCCAAGTGAGAACATGCACCATTCTGCCAAATTACCACTCCTTTGTATACTATCTCCAAAATACGTGTCCAAATTCTTGGTTGCTGTTTTCTCCTCTCTTGTCCCTACTGTCCTTGAAGGATTTTACCTGTGCTCTTCCTCTACTGCCATTTTATTAGGATTTGGGGAGGGAGAGGAAATAAATTTGTGTTGCAAATCAACCATGTTTCATTGGACATCCATTTCTCTAGCAGTCTCTCTTTTGGTAACACCCAGTGGGTGGATGTTGGCACTTCTGGAACTATCTTCCATGTCTATTATCTTTTCTTTTCTACTTTCTATTTATTTATCCAAGTCTGCTGTTTTCAGGGAGGATTCCAATCTTTCAGTTCACTAATCAGCTCTTTAGCTGCATACATTCCACTCCATAGCTCATCCACTCAGGTGGTTTTATTTGTTTAAACTATGAATATATTTTTTGTTTTTTATTCCCATGATCAGTAATACAAAATGAACACATTGTTCATCTCTGACATCCCTAATTGATTCTTTCCTATCCTTTCTTATTTGAGAATATTCATTATACTTACTTCAAAGCACATTACTGGTTGTCTATTTGTTCTGTTTAATCTCCAGATCTGGAGCCAGACAGCTGAGGTTAATCTGTGGCTTCTCATGTTAAGCTATGTGACTTTGGACGAAGTTACTTAATCACTTGACACTTTAGTTTCTTCGTTTGTAAAATGGCAATAAAAATAGTCCTACCTTAAACTCTTATAAGGCAGGACTCTTGTAAGGTATTCATGTGTCTATTGCAAACATAAAATAGTCCCACTTTATGTTTGCAATAGTGCCTGACACATAAATGCTCAGTAAATATTAGCTATGATTATTATGTTTCCTCAGGTGGACGTCTCCCTTTCATGGTGGTGCTTCTCAAATGATATTTTTTGACAGGGAACTCATCTTTACCCATGAAATTTTCTGCAAGAAATCTGCTGGCCTAGCTTGCTGTGAGGGAGGGCTGGAAATCGCTGGATGAGCTTGTGCTCCATGTTGCTTTCAAGGAGAGTGCAGAACAGGCAGAGGCACTATCAGGTGGACCAGCTGTGCTCTCACAGCTGGTCTTTGGGATGTGGCTGCTACTTAACTCTTCCTTGGCTTTGCCAGCCATATGGGGCCCTGTCCTGTCTTTCATTCCTAACACAGTTCATACCAGGAGACAGACACTGCTGTCCTGGTCATCTTGTCTGCCGGGGTGGGGTTGAGGGAGATATTCAGGGTCAATTCATCTAGCTCCTTCCACGGGCATACTTGTTTAACCCTCTGTCAGTAGCCCTTTGGTCCCGAGTCTTGTTCCAGGCATTCACCACCTCTGGGTGTGGAATGCCTTGTTGCTGGTCCCATTATTGAAGTATATACTGTAGTATACCTATAGTATGTCCTTGGCTGCTGCTCATGAGCTGGGCTGCAGTATCAAATCAGATCCTGTCTGCTTTTGGCTTCTCAGAAACGTGTCAGTGCTTCTGATTCTCTGAACATTTCCTGTTATCTTTTTGAGAACACTAATTTTTTTCCTTCCCTGTCATTCCTGGAGGATGGGCCTGGGTGGAGAAATGGCAGCATGTGCTCAGTCCACTATCGCGAAAAGGGAAGTCAGAGAATGTATAGAAAAGATAAGAAGTAAGCAGAATCTTGGAGAATGAGTAGGAGCAGCCAAAGTGAAAAGAGGAGAAAATGCCATTGTAGGCTGGGGAGACGGCCCGAGCGAAGGTGTGCAGACAGGAGACCACAGGGTAGGGCGAGGGGACACAAGCAATGCGATGTTTCAAGAGAGGCGAGACATCTAGAACTTGTGGACTTCATTGGAATAAAATATATCAGACAAGCTAAGATGCAATCAGATACAGTGAGATGCATAAGACATCTCATTTCACACAAAAGCATACTTCTATTTGCAATACTCCTCTAGTTCTGCCTTACTACACAGGAGCTCTAACAAAATACATTTACTGAAATTGCTCAAAAAAGACATATTTATATGTGTGTGTTATAAGTGTATATATTGCACTATTGAGTATGTTCTCTACAGGAGAGAACTTCCATTTTAAATAGGCATGGATGTGAACAGCCGTACATGCTTAAAACTCTATACATATGATGGGGGAGAGAGTTTTCCATAGACTAGTTTCTGGCTCCATACTTGTTTCTCCTCCACTGCTGACATATTTCTGAAAACAGGTGCTGGGGAAATGTTTATTATTTAGATATCATCTCCGACCCTGCTGGCTGAATCAGAACAATATTCCTGGAAGCCCTTCCTACGCTGGAAGACTAGCGGTAATGCAACCACACACAGAAGTGACTGTAAACTACATAAAGCTGTCTCATCCCAAGCCAGATCCTAAAAATGCCTATGACCATTCCAACATGAGGGGCACGAGGAGCAATGAGATGGAGGGGAAATCAGAGTGGAAAGAGCCAGCCATCTTAACTACAGTCAAGTGCTGCACGAGGACATTTCAGTCAATGACAGACCATGTGGGACCATGATGGTCAGGCAGGGGCACATGACAGGCAGGCGGCAGGGGCAGGAAGGACTAGCAGCTCTTCCCTGGCTAGCAGCGGGGGTTCTGCCTCCACCTGCCTCCCCAGGACAGAAGCCAGATGAGCTGGACCATGATGGTCCCTTCAGATTATCATACCATATTTTTCCCGTACCTTTTCTGTGGTTAGGCATGTTTAGATAGACAAGTACTTGCCATTGTGTTACAATTGCCTAGCATATTCTGTACTGTAACACGCTGCAATGGCTTGTAGCCTAGAAGCGATAGGCTATACCAGGCAGCCTAGGCATATAGTAGGCTCTACCATCTAGTTCTGTGTAAGTACACCTGATGACATTTGCACAACAACAAAGTCACATAAGGATGCATTTCTCAGAACACATCCCTGTCATTAAGCAACGCATGACTGCATTTGCACTTAAAATCGCTTACTTTTGCAAAGTCTGTAAAAACATATTACCATGTCAAACATTGTTAAAGCCTTTCCCACCAGGACCTTGTAAAGAGCCCATGCAAGCAAGGGGCCTTGCAGTTTCCTGGTGAATCCGTCTCTATTGACAGCATTTGAAAAATGATTCTGGCAGACAGAAATCCAGCTGCTATCAGATCTCTAGCTGGAATGGCTTGTCAGACTGTGGTACCCCAGCGGGGGACAGAACCCAGGAGAAAAAGCAGGTTTAGAGAGAAAAAGTTCATTTCTTGACATGATAAATTTGAGCTTTTGAGGGATATTCTGGTAAAGGTACTAGTAGGCTGGTATTTATTGATACATCTGTAATTCTTGTACCTCCCTCCTATTAAAGAAAATTCAAACAATCCAAACGAATGCAGGGAAAGAGAAAAAAGAAACAACAAGAAAGCATATTGTACATGATATTTGAAATATTAAGCCACTGGTGTAGCCTGTTTGCTGACTAATTAGAATCTTAGAAAAGGTCCTAGAGGGTCTCCCTGTGAGAAGCATTGACCCTTTTTTGCCAGATCAGAAGAAGGTCAGGAGTGGGGGCACTGTGGGGTCTCAGGTGAGCAGCTATTTACCAAGCAGCATGGAAGAATTCCAGTTTGTAATAATTTATAGGATTTTATCAATGTGTTCTAGATGAATATCCATTTCAAGGGTATATGTATAACACAAATGATGGCAGAAATAAACCCAAATATTTCTGTTATTCTTATCAATGTGAACTGGTTAAACTCACAAATTAGAAATAGAAACTCAGATGAACTTTTTAAATCTTGTAAAAAACAATATGTCATTTCCAAGAGATAAACCTAAGTAACAATACAGAAAGAGTAAAAAAGGAGAAATAAAACATATACTAGACAAATGCTATCTCAGGATAACAATATTTATACAAAAAGTAATAAAACTGAATAAGTCATAAAAGGATAAAACAATATTAATTTGTATAAGCCTAATAATTTGCTCTCAAAATTATAAGGCTGGCCGGGTGAGGTGGTACATGGCTGTAATGCCAGCCACCTAGGAGGCTGAGGCAGGAGGATGGCTTGAGGTCAGGAGTTTGAGGCTGCAGTTATAATCACACCTGTGAATAGCTACTGTACTCCAGCCTGGGAAACATGGTGAGACACTGCCTCTTAAACAAAAATCAAAAAACCAAAAAAAATAGTATAAAGCAAAATCAGACTAAATTAGAGGGAGAAATTGACAAACTACAATAAAAGTGGGAAATGTTAAACCTACTCTTTCAGAAATCAATGGATTGAACAGGAGAGAAAAAAAAAAAAAACCCAGGAGATAAAAGATCTAAATAACCTGATTAGCAAGCTAGATGGAGAGATATAGAGAAAAAAAAACCACATAAAAAGTGAAGAGACGTTCACAAAAATTGGGACAGCCAAAAAAAGTCTGTATATGAGGCCACAAAGGAGGCATTAACAAATTCTAAAAGAACACATTTCCTCATCTCCAAGCATTAAAGTTAGAGATCAATGACAAAATGATTGATTTATTTTTATTTAAATTTTTTTTTGTAGAGGGGCTCTCACTGTGTTGCCCAGGCTGGTCTTAAACTCCTGATCTCAAGCGATCTTCCCACCTTGGCCTCCCAGAGTGCTGGGATTACATGCCTGAGCCACTGGGCCCCTCCCCAAATGATTATTATTATTTTTTAAAAAACTGAAGTTTGAAAACAAAAAAAGAATGGAAAATATACGTCTAAATAATCCATGAATTAAGCATACAATCCTAACATAAAAAACAAAATATTGGCCAGGCACAGTGGCTGACGCCTGTAATCCCGACACTTTGGGAGGCTGAGGCCGGTGGATCACTTGAGGTCAGGAGTTGGAGACCAGCCTGGCCAAAATGGTAAAACCCCATCTCTACTAAAAATTAAAAAATTAGCCGGGTGTGGTGGCGTGCACCTGTAATCCCAGCTACTCAGGAGGTTGAGGCAGGAAAATCTCTTGAACCCGGGAAGTGGAGGTTGCAGTGAGCTGAGATCTTGCCACTGCAGTCCAGCCTGGACGACAGAGCGAGACTCTGTAACAACAACAACAACAAAATCCAAATATGTATAACTAAGTGATAACAAAAGCATAGCATATTAAAACTTGTGATATTCAGCTAAAGCAGACTTTTGAGGGAAATGATAGTCATATATACTTATTAGAAAACAACAAAAGAGGCCGGGTGCGGTAACTCACACCCGTAATCCCAACACTGGCCCTAAAATTAAAATTTTTAAAAAGGAAGCTTATATACCATACTACTCAGAGCTATATAGCACGTCACCATTTTTTACAGTGCACTCACCTTCCCTTACCTTGTATGATGTTTCTATGAGCCCTGGGAAACAATGAAGCAGGGGTGATTTTATGGATTTTTATAGGTCACGTTGAAGATTTTATAGGTGAGAAAGCCGAGGCTCGGAGGATGCATGACTTGCAAGTGTCAGAATCAGAACTAGAATAGATCCCACACATTTGAACACCGAGTTTGGTGTCTTTTCCTTCACACCGCGTTCTCTGGGGGTGCCTGGGCGGTGACCCCTGCCATTGGCCTTGAGGATTAGGGCCTCAGCTCGGGTCCTCTGCAGAGCCTCCTCAGTCCCTAGCAACTTGCTGGCACCTAGCCGGGGCTAAACGCAGGTTTGTTGAAAATTATAAAAGGGTAAGCCCAGGGGTAGCTATTCACCATTCTGGGTTTGAAGAGCTCTGATGCAGAAAGGTGTATACATCCAGCAGGAATTCCACCCTACATGATTTATTATAAACGTGGTATTCTAGGAGCATTCGCTCAGCCACGGAGAAAAATGGGCCTTTCGAAGAAGCTGGCCTTCGCGGTCGCTGTGGGGCGGCAGAGCAGGCGCAGGCGTCCAGGCAGTGGGGGCTGGGTAGGCGCCAGGAGACCTTCCCGGACCAATCCCCGGGCCCAGAGAGAGCGCCTGGAGACCTTACCTCCCCAGGAAATTCACACAGATTTCTTGGGGGCTTCACACCCGCGCCCCCAGTCCCGCCATCTCCTACGCCGCAGCAGGCGCCCCCACCAGGGTAATAACCCACTCTGAGAGTCTCTGGTGGTGCCTCTGATCCTCTGCTCTTCTGTTCCAGGCAGCGTTTTCTCCGAGCGGCTCTGGAGACTTTGGCCTGAGTTTCACCCTCACTCGCCGACTCATGTCCAAAAAATGCAGTCCAGCCCCGAAAGAGAGCCGCGCCTGCTGGTGGGGGTAGGGGGTGTTGGAGCGGCCACGGAATATGACTGAGCGCCCGGGGCCCGTTGTGAGGCCGGGGCCAGGCTGTCCCAAGGCACCGTTCCTGCCCGGCACCAGCACACCTGCCCAGACAGGGAGAAGGTCGGAGCCTCCCCTCCAGTCCTTCCGGATTTTATTGTTCAGAGCGACTTTAAAACGCAAATCGGGCCGGGCGCGGTGGCTCACGCCTGTAATCCCAGCACTTTGGGAGGCCGAGGCGGGCGGATCATTTGAGCCTAGGAGTTCGAGAACAGCTTGGCCAACATAGTGAAACCCCGTCTCTACTAAAAATGAAAATTAGCCGGGCGTGGTGGTGGGCATCTGTAGATCCAGCAACTCAGGAGGCCGAGGCAGGAGAATCGCTTGAACCCGGGAGGCGGAAGTTGCAGTGAGCCGAGATCGCGCCACTGCACTCCAGCCTGGGCGACAGATCGAGACTCCGTCTCAGAAAAAAAAAAAAAAAAAGGAAAATCGAACCAGCAGCTTGTTTGTAACAGCCAAACATAGGCAACAACCTAAATGTCCTTCAGTAAGGAGCTAGGTAATGAAGAATGGTGAAGCGCACGATGGCGCGCAGTGTGCAGTGGATGGGAAGAACCAGGTCTGTTCAGGAGCACTTGTATGGAAAGACCCTCCAAGATATAGTGAGTAAAAAAACATGTTGCAGAAAAGTACTGCAATATCGTTTTGTAAACAATACGTTTATGTAAACACACACACACAGTGTTAAAGAGAGATATTTGGAAGGACACACCTAAGAGTGGGCTGGGGGAGTGGAGGGAAGAGTGAATCTCAATTTTTACTCATTTTTTGAATTTTTTATTTTTAGTTTTTTAGAGACTGGGTCTCACTATGTTGCCCAGGCTAGTCTGGAAGCCCTGTCTTCAAGCCATCCTCCTGTCTTGGCCTTCCAAAGTGCTGAGATTACAGGCGTCAGCCACCACTCATTAAAAAAAAAAATTGTATACCTACCATATATGCATATATTACCTGGGTGACCTTTTAAAAATATGCTTTATTTTTAGAACATCTTTAGATTTACAGAAAAAGTGTGAATACAGGGAATTCTCATAAACCCGGGCTTTTCCTATTATTAACATCTTAAGTCATTTTTATATCTCCGTGGGTTCCTCTTGGCTGTGACAGTGTCCTAGACTTTCCTTGTTTTTGATGACCTTGCTAGTTTTCAGGAGTACTGGTCATGTATATGGCAAGGGCCTCAATTGATTTGTGATGTTTTCCTCATGATTACAGTGGGGTTAGGTGTTCTTGGGAGGAAGACCACAAGCGGTGCATGCAATCAGTATGATTTACCCCTGTCGAGGTCACCTTGACGGCTGGGTGGTTTGTCAGGTTTCTCCACGATAGTCACTGACCGCTCCCTTCCTCACATACTGTGCGTGACCTTCCCCCCTCCACCACCACCGAGTGTTGCTATAAAGGAAATGCGTTTGACCTTTTCAGTGTAAAAAGTTTTCTCGACCTTAAAGAGAGTCACTAACCGACGCACACGGGGCTGGAGAGGACTTAGGAAATGCCCACCCCTGCAGGAGGGCGAATGCGGCTCTGCGCGGCACTGGGCGCCGCAGGGGTTAGGGGCGGCAGAGGGACCTCCGGAGCCCGAGACTTCCTGGAGCAGCTCCGCAGCCGGAAGGCTGCTGCTCCTCGCGGGCCCGCCGTGCCCAGTCCTCATCTTGGGGGCGGGGCCGCGCTCAGGCCCCGCCCCTCCCTTGCACTGCCTCTGGCACCTGGGGCAGCCGCGCCCGCGGAGTTTTCCGCCCGGCGCTGACGGCTGCTGCGCCCGCGGCTCCCCAGTGCCCCGAGTGCCCCGCGGGCCCCGCGAGCGGGAGTGGGACCCAGCCCCTAGGCAGAACCCAGGCGCCGCGCCCGGGACGCCCGCGGAGAGAGCCACTCCCGCCCACGTCCCATTTCGCCCCTCGCGTCCGGAGTCCCCGTGGCCAGGTGAGTGAGGGTCCCGAGCCGGCTGGGGGCCTGGGACCAGGCGGCGGCAGTGCACCGCGGCGCCGCGGGTGAGGCCCGGGGCTGCCTGGCGCCCAGCCCAGCGCGGCCCTGCGGCTTCCTGGTTGCACTACAGGCGTGGGGGTGGGGGGCAGGGGAGGGCGTCGGCGGGTCGCGGGCGGGCCGTGTCGGCCTGGCAGCCCCCTAGATCAGCCTCGGCGTCTGGGGCTGCTCCCTCATGTGTGGTCGGGGTGCACTCGCCGTCCCCCCGGGCTCAGGGGTCGGGGTCTCAGTCTGGGCCTGGGTAGGGCCAGGGGCCGTGACCCTGGGCGCAGGAGGCAACGGGTGGCGGGAGGGGTGCCGGAGGCCCGGCCCCGCAGCCCTGCGGAGCCCTCCAGGGTGCGCGCGCCCTTCTAGGCGAGGCTTGGGGAGATTAAGCAGAGAAGGCTATCTTCAGGAACTTTCCTCCGAAACTGGGAGCACGCACATTCCTGGGAGCTGCTACCATTGCAGTTTATTTGTAAGGAACTCTCCCCAGTGTTTGAGGGAATGCGGGAGCCATCCCAGGTGCTGTGCGTGCCTTCGCCCCTTCCCCAACCTTGATCCCCAGTTTCAGGAAGGGATTCCTGGACTTGTATCTCCCATGGGTGCAGGCCAGGCCCTTAAGACTTAGGTAAAATGGTCTGTTGGTTTAAAGGAGACACGCGAAGTTTGTTACCTAGAGACTTTGGAGGGGAAAAGTTAAGCCAGCCAGTGCTAGCCCAAGCTGGAAACAGTCAGCCCGGGGCATTTCTGTCTCTGCCCTCCAATCCTTGACCTCTCTGTAGAGATTCGGCGTTTGTGGTAGCTCTCCCCTCTGTTCTCTGCGCTGGGCATGGAGTGGAGCTGTGAGGCCGAGCCCCTGCCCTGCCCTGCCCTGCCCTGCCCACGCAACAGGGACTAGGTTTGCAGGGCAGGGCCTGGTATGCTCACCCTTCACTGGCTCTCATTGCTTTCCTCATTCCTTTTATGCGGCAGTCAATTGTTGGGGATTCCAGGGGATTAACAGGGCCCCTTTCCTCAAGGCATTCTTTGTGCTGCAAGGTGTTCCCTGATAAGAGAGGCCAGGTGAGGTGCCAGGGCAGTTTGTTGCCCTGGCATTGGGTGCCCACTACTTCAGGCTCCTGCATACCTTGCTATCTTTTCTTTGACTATTGTCTGTGCTTTGGTTTTTCATCTGTAAAATGGGGGTAATAGTAATCCCTGCCTCACAGGCTTGTGAGATTCAGTGCATTCATTTATTTAATAACAATACAGAGCTCAGGTACGGACCAGTCAGAACAGGTGGTGACTGCTGCACCACACTTGTGTATCCCAGATGGGTGTCACCCACATTAGCCATAAAGTGTGTGAGGCAGGCCTGGGTCATAAATAATCAGGTGTAAGGGTCAATAAATAGTAGCAGTGGAAGGTTCAGCTAAAGTTGAAATGCACTTCTCCTGAACCGTCTTTCTGGCTTAGCTCATGCTAAGCTCATGCTCTCTGTCTTACTGGAATGCCCTCCCTCCCCTGTCTGGCCTAGCATTCTCCACCCTCCTGGGAGCCATCCGGGTGCCTGCTCCCAGCAGGAGGGACGGGATATGCTCTGAGCTCACTCAGCCCTTCTGGCACTGACTCGGTTCTCATCTCTCGCCTTGCATAGTATTTGTGTGGCGGTGTGGCTTATCGCTGCCCTGTCCTCTGACTCTGGAGGGTGGGGGCTGTTTCTGACTTACCTCTTGGTGGCAGCACTCAGGATGGGCCTTGCCTAATGTAGGTGCTCAGAAAATTAGTTGTCGTTAGTTGAACAACAGAGACAGCACAGGGAAGTGGTTTCCCTGTGGTTAAAATATAGGACCTTGAAGGCTGGGTTTGGATAGAGAAACGTGGGGAGGGTGAGATGGAGATGAATTGGGACTAAGAGGTGGGAGTGGAAGCCTCACCTGACGCCTTTATGCATGATACTATAGAAAGGGCCCACCCTGGGTGGATGTGTCTAGAAGGCCAGGATCGATTAGTGATGCCTAGTTCACGTGATTGGGGAGGTGATGTGTGGCTTGGGATGACAGGAGTGGGAGTTGAGACAGAATAGGTTAGTGTGGGTTCTTCTTGGAAATTGTAGAATAGAGAAAAGAAACTGGTGTGGGCAGGAGCTGAATGTGGAACCAAAATGCATGCTGAATGCTGGAACATCAGAGGTCCTGGGACCTTTCTGGTGCACCCCCTCCTTCCTCCTGGATTCACCCCTCTTCTTCTGCTGTCTTTTTTTTTTTTTTTTTTTTTGAGACAGATTTCGCCCTGTCACCCAGGCTGGAGTGCAGTGATGCAATCTTGGCTCACTGCAACCTCCGCTCCCTGGGTTTAAATGATTCTCCTCCCTTGGCCTCCCGAGTAGCTGGGATTACAGGCATGCACCACCATGCCCGGCTAATTTTTGTATTTTTAGTAGAGACGGGGCTTCACCATGTTGGCCAGGCTGGTCTTGAACTCCTGACCTCAGGTGATCTGCCTGCCTCAGTCTCCCAAAGTGCTGGGATTACAGGCATGAGTCACCGTGCCCGGCCTCCTCTCTCTTCTTAGCCACTGTTTTCCCCCGTAAGCCTGAAGCAGTTCCTGGCACTTGTTCCCATGGGGAAGCGTCTGTGTAAGGGTATGCTTCACCAGCACTGCCAAGGAAGTAGACTTTTCACTTTCTCTGGATTTTTCTCTGCAACACCCTCTGATCCCATTGCCCCCAGAATAGTAGGAATTTTGAGTGATACCTAGATAGGAAAGCTCTTAGGATTAATGAAGAAACTGAGATTTTCTTGGTGGGAGTTTGTGCTTTTAAAGGGAGTTGTTGCAATTCAATGGAACTCTGTAATAACCACTGAAACTGTTACACATTAGGCTTACTGACCCTATCTCCTATAACCCATGAAATAAAGACCTGATAGTCACATAGTTGTTTGCTATTTGGGAGGATCCTAAAAGTACAGCCTGAACAGTGACCCAAACCACAGCTGGCCTTGCCCATGCTGATGTGAGGAAGGAATGGGTGGGGGCAACTAAGAAATTGGGGGACAGAGTTCTCTGTGCTAGGTATCCTAGGACAAGCCACCCAGCCACACAGAGACCCCCCGCTTCCCCCCCACAGAACAGTTCTGGATGATAAAATGCCTGCCTGGAATGGAGAATCAGATGAGAAGATGTTTGCAAAGGGGTTTGAGATCAGTTAGCGGGTGGTGATGACAATGTTGATACCGTGGGTGTGTGACTGCCAGGAGCTGTGAAGCAGAGGGTGGAGTGTGCGGTGGTCAAAGCCTGGTTCTGGGATCTCTAGCTTTCCAGGGGCTTAGGCTCCGCCTTAGCAGAAAAGAAGGAAAGGAAATTGAGAAGGAAGTCAGGTGTCCCCTGCCCCTCACACTTGGGGATGGCTGACTTGGAGGACATGAGATGGGGGAAATCTGAGTGAGGGCAGAGAAGAGAAATGTGGAGGCTGCTCACAGGGAGGCTAGGGAGCATATGGCATATCCAGCCTGGGGAGTGGCACCACTGGGGGAAAGGGTGCGTGTGACAGTGGGGAAGGAGTGGTGATAACAGATGTGAGCTTGCTGTGTCCACTAAAAAGGTCACGGCTATTTTTAGGAAGTAGGTGACAAGGCATGTTCCTGTAGAACTGCTTATTACTGAGAACCCACTGTTGGCCTCGCCCTGCGTGGTGTGCTTAAAAGGAGAGACCGCCCCCACTCACCCTAGAGTCATCCACCTGGTGTCCCTGAGACATGGGACACTGGATGAGGACCAGGTTTGGAGGATGAAGAAGATCATGTATTTGGTTTTGGACATGTTGTGTTTGAGGTGTCTTTGAGATACCAAATAAGCTGGTGGGTCTGGGGCTCAGGAGGCGTCTTGGCTAGACAGACATTTGTCTAGGTTGTGTTTGTATTTGAAGTCATGGGCACAGCGAGATTGAAGAACTCACCTCGAACAGCTGAGTAAAGGAAGATGAGCCTATAAAGGACCCAGAAAAAGAGCGACCTGAGAGGGGCCCAGAAAGCCAGGACAGAGTTGTATCCCAGGGGCCAGGGTGAGTCTGCTTCGTGGGATGGAGTGGTCAGCTTGGCATCGCGGCTGTGGTGAGTGATATGGAGGAGATGTGGCTGCCTTCACTGCTTTGGTGGGATGATGTGAGCAGAAGCGAGGTTGGAGTGAATGGGTGAGGAGTAGCAGGACGTGAGGATCTGATGATAGACAGGCTCTGAAATGTTGGCTTTGAAGGCGAAGAGGACGTCGTTGAGGGAGTGTTTGATTCTGTTGCCTCGATTTACCCTCCTGCTCCCTTTCCAATCCCAGAAGGGAACATGTGGATGGCCTGCCACTGACATCCCTCCCCACGGCGCTCCGTGCTCAGGCAGACCTAGGTACCTGCAAGGGTTTGCTTCTTTCACAAAGTGGATTCATTCTCATGAATGAATGAATGAGTGAATGAAGCATGTTGCCCAGGTTGGTCTCAAAGCCCTGGCCTCAAGCAATCCCCCCGCCCCGCCTCAGCCTCCCAAAGTGCTGGGATTACAGGAGTGAACCACTGCACCTGGCTGGTATTAAATTTTCTTTGTGGCCAACTGCATGATAAATATTAACATGTTTCATGGGCGTGAAAGGAGAAAATAGGTCCTCTGCGGGACGCTGACTTTAGATAGATCTCTTAACTTCAGTTACCCTTATATCCCTGCTTGCCTGGCTGTCAGATTCTGAGAGGTATAACAAAAACTCTCACTGTAGTTTTTTAAAGTCCAGCTCTACTTATATTTGTGGGAGTTCTAGCCTTTTGAGTTTGGCTTTCGTGTTTCATGTATATAGGCTTATCAAGCTGATCTTCCTACCTGTCATTTGCTGGTTATTTAATGCCTTTGGTCTTTGGTCTTAAATTCCATATTGTCTGTGTTTTAGGAGAATACATGGCCAAGGATCTGGGAGAATCTCTTTTCTTTACAGTCTTAAAATTAATAAATAAGTGCATTTTATAAGATAATAAGTGAAAGGCTCAGAAATTTAAATGCAGGCATCAGAGGACATTCAAGCCATGCCCCTTTAGCTTCTGTTCAGGCTCACATGGAGCGGTTAGTAATCAGGTCTCACTGATGACCATGAGCTCCCTGTCCTTGGCTGTCCTAATGGTTCCCATGATAGCCAGATTTTTAGGAGGGGTGGATAAAATGAGATTTGCGTGCAAACTCCTGGGACGTTGCCTGGGAACCTCTTCTCTCACTTTGCAATTCCTGCCCCTTCCTGTAGGTCCAAGAAGCGGACTGCTCTGCCTCTCATTTACGCATTTCCTTCCTCATTCCAGACAGCAAGATGAGTTTTTGACAGAGTAGCCAGTACAAACACTTCTCAGGGCCAGAAGTCAGAAAGACGCGGGCCCCAAGTCATAAGCTCATCTCTGTGCTTGTGTTTTAAGCCACATAAACTGTCTCAGCGGGCTGGACTAGGCTATGCCTTGTTGTACCCTGAGATCCTAGTGAGTAGTTCTCCAAGTACTGTGTTTACAGATAAAGGCAAATGCCAGAGAGAAATGGCTGGAAAAACCCCTTGGCTTGCTAAGGCAGGATTATCGAAAAGTCTTCAACATATATGTTTTTAAATTTTACATATTTTTTCATTTTTATTTATTTTGAGACCAGACTAATTTTTGTATTTTTGGTAGAGATGGGGTTTTGCCATGTTGCCCAGGCTGGTCTCAAACTCCTGGGCTCAAGTAATCTGCCCACCTCAGCTTCCCAAAGTGCTGGGATTACGGACATGAGCCACTGCACCCAGCCAACCACTGTGCCCAGCCTATTTTTACTATTAATATTTCCACCTCTGTTTTTCTTTGCATTTATTTGGTATGTCTTTGCCCAACCCTTAGTTTTAAATATTTCTTTCTCACTTAAAAAAGTTTATCTTGGCTGGGCGCGGTAGCTCACGCCTGTAATCCCAGCACTTTAGGAGGCCGAGGCGGGCAGATCACGAGGTCAGGAGATAGAGACCATCCTGGCTAACACGGTGAAATCCCGCCTCTACTAAAAATATAAAAAATTATCCAGGCGTGGTAGCGGGCGCCTATAGTCCCAGCTACTCGGGAGGCTGAGGCAGGAGAATGGCATGAACCCGGGAGGCGGAGCTTGCAGTGGAGCCGAGATCGTGCCACTGCACTCCAGCCTGGACGACAGATCAAGACTTGGTCTCAAAAAAAAAAAAAAAAAAAGTTTATCTTGAAGATGGAATCTTCGTAAATAAAATTTGTTTCTCTTATAATCAGAACGTGGTTGAGGGTGGATGGAGGTTGACAGAAGGCAATGATAACAGCAACAAACCTAATTGCATGGTTTCTGTCTTTGGTAGAGGAATTCTGACTGTTGACATACCAGATATACTTGATTTTATTCTTTGCATCTTGCTTATTACTTATTATACTTGCATGCATTCCTTTCCTGATTTTTGCTGTTGGGTTAAGTTTCTCATCGTCATCTTCCCCACGCCACCTGTATTACGTTTCAGGTTTGGTTGTGAATGAAGAGAGGAGCCCCGTCTCTCTCTCTCTCTCTCTCTCACTCACTCTCTCACTCTTTCTTGAAAAATCAGGGTCGAGGTTAAGTGTGTGTTCCATGAGATTGTCTTGGCACCAGGCTCCTTATGGACTGTTGTCCCTAGCATTCTCAAGGGCTGTGGTTTTCAAACTTGAGCATGTATAAGAACAATCTGGAAGGCTTGTTAAAGCATAGATTCTTGGACTGCACCCTGAATCATTCTAATTTAGGAGGTCTGTGATGGGACCTGAGCACGTTAATTGCTTACAGGCTCCCATATTGTATAATGCCGCCGGGCCACATGTTGGGTAGCACCGTCTAGGTGCCTCCCTTAACTGCATGGCCCAAGACAGCTCACTTTCACATCCCCATGGCAGGCCCTCCTAGCTGCTAGGGGTCTGGAAAGCAGTCCTTAGTGGGGGCTGCTGTGTGCCAGGCTATGGTGTGTTCTGTTACTAAAGCAAGAGAGAACAGATGGTTGAGGAGGACAATCAGAAGTTTCTGGAACACCACCCACTGCTCTCCTGAATTTGAAACTACTACTATGCTTATCAGTCTTGCTGTTGGCTAAGCCTGTGTTCCTCAGGTTAGGAAGTGGGAATGGTTTCTCATGACAGTGGCAAGCCCGCAGGCAGTGCAAGCAAGGCAGCTTCTGTTCCTGTGGGCTGGTGCACAAGCTGGCAAGCTGCTGTGGCTTTGCTGATGCCCCGAGAGTCATCTGCTGCTCCCAGCCGTCAGGTCTGGCATCCGCATACTCCATTGCTGCAGCCACCACCAGATCTTCCAGACCCCATGGGATCGAGGGGCCCCCTCCAAGACCCAGTGGGATAGGGGTTATTTTTTTTTTTTTGAGACGGAGTCTCACTCTGTCGCCCAGGCTGGAGTGCAGTGGCATGATCTCGGCTCACTGCAAGCTCTGCCTCCTGGGTTCACGCCATTCTCCTGCCTCAGACTCACAAGTAGCTGGGACTACAGGCGCCCGCCACTGCGCTTTGCTAATTTTTTTTGTATTTTTAGTAGAGACGGGGTTTCACCATGTTAGCCAGGATGGTCTCGATCTCCTGACCTCGTGATCCTCCCGCCTCGGCCTCCCAAAATGCTGGGATTACAGGTGTGAGCCACCGCGCCCGGCCAGGGGTTATTTTTTTGTGCTACCTCCTCCCAACTTCCCTTCTTCAACCCCAAATATGACACCTAGGTGACTGTTTCTAGGAGAGTTTGAGGGCAGAGGCTATTTGAACCCTGAACTGAGGTGGGGGTGATGTTCGGTCTCCGTGGCTGGTAATATCCTTGAGAGATCAGAGCAGTGGTTGCCAACCCCCATTCTCTGTTGTCATCACACATAGGGAGGGGATCTGGAGAGAAACAGGGTCATAAGGCTCCTATGGAGTGGCTGGTACTTTTCTGAGTGGCTTGATTATATGGGACATTATTTGGGAGGCAGTAGTAACTTTCTTCTCTTTCCGGGGTTTAACCTTTGTATTTCTCAAGTCCATTCTCCAGCCTGAGAAGGTGTGATGGAGCCCAGAAATACGTTGAGTGGTTGGGGACCAGCCTGGTTCATAATGCACTGGCCTGGAAATCCAGAGATGTGGTTCTAGTCATTGTCCTGCCCCCAGCCAGCTCTGAGACCTCAGGCAGAGTCTTTCTGCTCTCTGGGTCTCAGCTCCCACCTCAAATAAAATAAACAGGTTGAATGAAATGATTTCATGAAGGCCCTTTCCAGCTCCAGTATTTTAGGATTCTTATGTAATCCAAATGCTAGTGCACTGGGAATTGACTTTATCTTGAAGAAGTGTCTTTCAGAACCTGCTTGCTCAAGTTCAGCCCCTTGGTGAGGCTCCGGACGCTGCCACTCTCCCAGCCTGCCTTGTCTGGAGTTTCTCCAGGCTGAGCTGCCCCAGGTGCCAGCCCTCAGAGGGGAGGTCTGAGGTGCAGCCTGGCTAATGATTAACATACGCTACAGCTATTTTAGTTCCTGGCATGTGGGTGGGGAGTTGAATGCTTAACAGCACCTGTGTAGGCTTTTTGTTTAGTGCCTGGGAAAATATGGTCAGGGTTGGTGGAGTGCTGCCCTGAGGCTGGCTGGCTGGCTTCGGTGACTTAATGGCACCTGTGACCAGCAAGGGCAGGACATTGGGGCTCTGGAGTGCACGCCCAGGGCCCCCACCCCCTTCTCAGTAGAGCTGGAGATGTTCATACTCCCACTCACATCACTTAAGGTCCTGCCTTGAGGTGGGGGAGAGAGGGGAATGTCCTAGATGTGTCCTCCCTGCCCCCAGAATTCCTGGGGCCTACGTAATAGAGGCTACCGAAACAGGTGCCACCCAGAGAGTGAAAGAAATGAGTCAGAGTCCACCGGGGTTCCTGCCAGTATTCAGTATGTGTCAAGGGCCTCACAGTGCCAGCCCTGTGGCAGGTGGTGGTGGGGGACAGGAAGAGAGGCCTGTCCTACAGCCTGTAGCACTGATGCTCTCATGGGGAGGCCTAGAAAAAAAGTGTCTGGCTCTGGCACTTGGGTGTGTGACCTTTGCATGTCAAGAGTCAGCTCAGCCTTCGTTCCCTTGCTTATAAAATGAGGATGATAATACCTATCCAATAGGAGCATTGTGGAGGTTAATGAGGTAATATATAGGGATGTAATATATGTATCTATCCTAGGAGTTAGAAAAAGGAGAGCTTATTAGAACATTAGAGAACATGGAAAACATTTTAGGACAAGTGCTGTGAGAGTTCCAAGAAGAGTGAGCATTGTGGATAGGAGATCAGGGTGGGCTTCCTGAAAGAGATATGGTATGGTTTGGCTGTGTCCCCACCCAAATCTCGAATTCCCTCGTGTTGTAGAAGAGACTTGGTGGGAGGTAACTGAATGGGGCAGGTCTTTCCTGTGCTATTCTCGTGATAGTGAATAAGTCTCACAAGATCTGATGCTTTTATAAAGGGAAATTTCCCTGCACAAACTCTCTTCTCTTGTCTGCTGCCATGTGAGACGTGCCTTTCACCTTCAGCCATGATTGTGAGGCCTCCCCAGCCACGTGGAACTGTGAGTCCATTAAACCTCTTTCTTTTGTAAATTGCCCAGTCTTGGTTATGTCTTTATCAGCAGTGTGAAAATGGACTAATACAAGGTGGAACTTCATCTGGACTCAGGGAAGGCCAGGAGACAGGAGGTCAGACCAGCTAGAGGGACCACCTAAGCAGAGGTGTCCTGAAAAGGGAAAGTGCTGAGCTGGGCTGGGCTAAGGACATGCATTTTTTGTGCTTCTCTCCATCATGCATGTCCCTGAGGTACCTTCTGTTTTCATGCTGTTCCTCAGTGGCCCAGTGTGAGTGACTCTTGGCTCCAGACTGCTTGACACAGCTTAGGATGCCAGCTGCAGAAGGGTCAGCCCATTCCCAAGTGAAGGTGTTTTCTCCTCCAGAGTGAGCTGCAGGTCCTTGAACTTCCAGTTGCATGCGGCTGACTGGGGACATTGTCACCATCTGAAGAGCAGACCTTGATAAGGGATATTTGGAAAGGTTTCCTGAGGCTTCTAGGTAGAGCAGGGGTGCTCAGCCATTTGGAGCTGGAATATACACTCTGTTAAGTCTCCCAGGCTTGAAGGGGCTGGGCTTCCAGAGTGGTTTGAACAGGCCCCGAGGACTGGCTGATGGGCATCAGGGCCTTTCCGGGAGAGGCTGGGGGACACACTGCTGCCATCACACTCTTCAGTCTTCTTCGCCTCTCTTCCTCAGCCTGTGGTGAGAGACGGGTCTGTGCCGGCCATTCATAAGGAGATGAGATGGCTCATAACACACCAACTGGAAGGGCCCTGGTAAACCTCTACTCCTGTGATCACAAATGCAGATTCCTGCAAGGACAGCCCGGCAGCTGAAGGAGGGAGGGAGGTGCGCAGCTGTTGCCAGCCCTAGCCGAGTGTCACCATGCAGAAATATGGGGCCCTTGTTGCCAGAGCTCCTGTTTTAATATTTTTGAAGGATTTAAGCCAGAGTCTCCCTTTTGCAGCCCTTTCCTCCCTCCAATGAAATAATGCTATTGAGCTCCAAAACCTTCAGGAGCCCCAGGTTCTGGGAGGCAGCATGCAAACCACTGAGGCCCTGCAGGCGCACTCATTGAAAATAGGTGAGGTAGACGAGGCTGGGAGGGCTTAGATTTGCCAAGGCCCCTCAGAGAGAAGCCAGTTTCTCAGACGCCCCTATGCTCCACTGCCAGGGAACACATTTTCTGAATTCTTTGTCTTCCCCCCCCGACTCTTCCTAGGAGTGGCTCTTAAATATTGTAGTGTGTGTTTCCCTGGAAGTGCGCTATTGTGTTTATCTCGCTAGCTAGAGGGAAAGCATGATGCAGGCCAGGACTTTATTTTTTTCTTCCCTATCCTAGGGGGTGTAGCCCAGCCCCTGGTGCCTCCATAAACCCAGGTGGGATTGCTGTGAAGCTAATGAAGTGGAAGCTTCAGGTCCCCGGACTTGTAGCACCCTAGTGAGGGGCCGTGGGAGGGGCACTAGCAGTGAGTTCACAGAGTCATATGGTTTATAACATTTGCAAAAAACTAAGATTTTTTGTATTCTTTGTCCTGAAGAGGGTTCCTAAAATTGTATAAGCTTCAGGCCCCACAAAACCTGGACCTACTGCAGATGTTGGTACCAGTCTCACAGACTGGCTGCTAGTGTTTTATTTTAACTTTCCCCTAAAAAATATATGCCTGTTTTTTCAGAAAGCAGTTGAAGAATATAGTTCACCAGGCTGGTCAACATGGCGAAACCCTGTCTCTACTAAAAATACAGAAATTAGCTGGGCGTGGTGGCGCATGCCTATAATCCCAGCTACTTGGGAGGCTGAGGCTGCAGTGAGTCGAGATTGCACCACTGCATTCCAGCCTGGGTGACAGAGCAAGAGACTTCTTCAAAAAAATAAAAAAGAAGAAGAATGTAGTAATATTCTGTCTTTTTTTTTTTTTTTTTGAGACAGAGTCTCCCTCTGTTGCCCAAGCTGGAGTGCAGTGGCACGATCTTGGCTCACTGCAGCCCCAGCCTCCCGAGTAGGTGGGAGTATAGGCATGCGCCACCACGCCAGACTACTTTCTGTATTTTTAGTAGAGACGGGGTTTTGACATGTTTGCCAGGCTGGTCTCGAACTCCTGGCCTCAAGTGATCTGCCTGCCTCAGCCTCCCAAAGTGCTGGGATTACAGATGTGAGCCATTGCGCCTGGCAGAAGTAATGTTCTCTTTCTAAAGTTAGATGATAAAGGATGCTTATTTTATTGTGCTTTATAATTCATATATATGTTGTATTTATTGCTATATTGTAAAAATATTTTATAATAATACACGAAAAAAGCCAAATATGTTGATCCAAAAGGCTTATAATGAAGCCAGCAGTCCCCTGACACATCCTTCCTCTTTCCCTTTCTCCAGAGTTAATCATTTTTAACTATTTTTAATTAATAGGCTTATATGACTGTTTCTTAATTTATCAGTTTTGAAATATGTTGACTTCCTGCTTGGTAGATTAGGAACCAATACATACATCAATATTTAATGTATGCATTATTGTGACCATAAATTGTATTGTTCGATGCTGTGCAAGTAATGTGCCGTGGTCACACATTAGGAGTACAATCCTTCCTGTCCCAATATTCCTCAGGTGGATGCTTTCCCTCCTTGGGGGCCTGATTTTCTGTGTATCTATTGTTCCAAACTGGTCTGGTTGCTCCGCAGGCCTGCTGCTCAGCTGTTGTCCCGGGACTTCTTTTTACAGTCTTCTGTGTTAGATTCTCCTATTCCTAGATCCTATATATTTTATTTTCTTTATTTTCCTTATTTATGTCTCATTTTGCTGAAATCATCCAGAAGTTCCTAAGAAAAGTGCATGGGAGGTAGATTTTGTTTTGTTTTTTGTTTTTGAAGCTTGTGTGCCTGCAAATATCTCTATTCCTCCCTAATGGATAGAAATATCCATTCCAAATATCTCTATCCAGTAGTGGATAATTTAGCTGGCTATAGAATTATAAGCTGAAAATAATTTCCTTTCTGAACACTGAACACATTATTCTGTTATCTTCTAGTTTCTAGTGTGGCTGTTGAAGTCCAGTGTCCTTCCAGTTCCCCTGAAAAGGACCCTTGTTCTTTCTTTTCTAAAGTTTTAGTATCTTCTGCCTCTTCTCTTCTCAAATTTCACAATGATTGCTTTGCTGATCTTTTTGCTTTGTGGATATAACATTTTCTCTTCCGTCTCTAAGGATATTATTGATTATATTTTTGTCCTCTATTTCTCATCATTGTCTGTTTCTTTGGTTCTCTTCTATCTCTGAGGATATTATTGATTATATTTTTGTCCTCTACTTCTCATCGTTGTCTGTTTCTTTGGTTCCTTTTCTTCTGTTTTGGTCTCTCCCTTTCTTGGTGTAGACTTTCTCAGATGTCCTGTGACCCTTTGCTGTCTATATGAAGAGGGAGACCATAAAAATCTGATTAGAGTGCATAGGTGAAATGTACAGGAGGGGCAGGATTTTATCACATCTCTTCCCCCTTCGGTGTGTTTCCTGGAAGGCAGTTATTCCCCAATATTGCAAAATTAATCTCTCCTCAGCGCTGGTCTTCCCACTGTACCTGCTGTTGCCTCGGGCAGGAAGCAGCAACCCAGGCTTGAACTCCCATGGGCTGCCCCCGTGATGGAACAAAAAGAATCATCCTAGAGAACTGGGCCTGAGTCCGCCAGCAGCTCTGAGGACAGGAAGCCTCTCTACCCACCCTGCCCTGGGGACGATGAGCTCTAGCCTGGGAGTGGGGGATTCAGCACCAGCCCTCTTAGGGTCTTGCTGTATCACCTTGGCATGCCACAACCCTCTCTCTGGTTGTCAGTGTGACCATTTGTGAAATGGGGTGAGGTGGGGTCGGTGGGAGTGAACTGAGTCGTCTCTGAGGTGCTGAGCTGGCCTCTGGCATCCGGTTGTGAGGTCCTGGCTGATGGGGTGTGATGGCCCTGCCTGTGCAAATCCGACTGGGCAAATGCTGACTGGGCATGCGTAGCCTGGCCACACGGAAGCCACTGAGGGCCCAAGTCCCCTGGTGACTCATGTTGATTGGTAATTCAAGTTAGCACACCTGTGCCGAGCCTGTTCCCGACACATGGGAGAGGCGAGCACCTGGTTCCTCCTTGTGCCGTTGGAAAGGGTTTTTTTTGTAGTCTTGGTGGTTTAATATTTCCCTTGTTGAAGAAAGCTGGCTGAGTTAGGTAGACATGTTCACAGAGCTCTTATGCAAAGAGAACAGAGGCCTTTGGAAAGAGAATGCCATAGAAGGATCTGGAAGGAAAGAGAAGGAATGGTCACTGTATATATTAGTTTTCTTTAAAGTTTTTTTTGTTGTTGTTTGTTTTTGTTTTTTGAGACAGAGTCTCACTCTGTCACCCAGGCCGGAGTGCAGTAGCACAATCTCGGCTCACTGCAACCTGTAGCTCCTGGGTTTAAGCAATTCCTGAGTAGCTGGGACTACAGGCACGTGCCACCATGCCTGGCTAATTTTTGAATTTTAATTTTATTTTATTTTGAGACAGAGGTTTGCTCTTTTTGCCCAGGCTGGAGTGCAATGGCATGATCTCGGCTCACTGCAGCCTCCACCTCCCGGGTTCAAGTAATTCTCCTGCCTCAGCCTCTCGAGTAGCTGGGATTGCAGGTGCATGCCACCACACCCAGCTAATTTTGTATTTTTAGTAGAGATGGGGTTTTGCCATGTTGGCCAGGCTGGTCTCAAGCTCCTGACCTCAGGTGATCCGCCTGCCTCAGCCTCCCAGAGTGCTTGGATTATAGGCATGAGTCTCTGTGCCTGGCCAATTTTTGTATTTTTAGTAGAGACAGGGTCTCACTATGTTGCCCAGGCTGGTCTCAAACTCCTGGCCTCATGCAGTCCGCCCACCTTGGCCTTCCAAAGTGCTGGGGTTACAGGCGTGAGCCACCGTGCCTGGCCAATAGTTTTCTTTAAAAATTTTTTGGCCAGGCGTGGTGGCTCACGCCTGTAACCCCAGCACTTTGGGAGGCCAAGGCAGGCGGATCACGAGGTCAGGAGATCGAGACCATCTTGGCTGACATGGTGAAACCCTGTCTCTACTAAAAATACAAAAAACTAGCTGGGCGCGGTGGCGGGCGCCTGTGATCCCAGCTACTCAGGAGGCTGAGGCGGGAGAACGGCATGAACTCAGGAGGTGGAGCTTGCAGTGAGCCAAGATAGGGCTACTGCAGTCCGGCCTGGGCAAAAGAGCGAGACTCCGTCTCAAAAAAAAAAAAAAAAAAATTTATTGTAAATTAACATTTATAATTATGTAAATTTATGGAGTACAAAGTGATGTTATAATCTATGAATACAATGTGAAATAAAGCAAACTAGTTAATATATCCATCACCTCAAATAGTTTTCAATAATTAGTTTTCAATTACTGCTGTAACAAATTACCACAAACTTGTGGCTTAAAACCATGCAACTCTTTTTGTGGTAAAAATATACACAACGTAAAATTTACCATTTTACCCACTGTTAGGTGTGCAGTTCAGTGGTGTTAAATACATTCACTTCGTTGTGCAACAGTCATTACGATGCATCTCCAGAAGGTTCTCATCTTCCCAAACTGACTCTGTACTCAGGAAATGTAAACTCCCCATTCCCTCTTACCTGAGCCCTGGCCAACAGCAGTCTACTTTCTGTCCTTAGGAATTTGACTCCTTTGGAGACTTCATATAGGTGGAATCAGAAGTATTTGTTCTTTTGTGCCTGGCTTGTTTCATTTAGCATAATGTGTTGAAGATTTATCCACATTGTAGCATATGTCAGTTTTCTTCTGTTTTGAGGCTGAATGATATTCTCTTTTTATGTGGAGATCTTGTTTTGTTTATCCATTCATCCATCAATGGGCACTTGAGTTGTTTCCACCTTTTGACTACTGTGAATGAGGCTGCTATGAACATGGGTATACAAATGTCTGTTGGAGTCCCTGCTTTCATTTCCTTTAGGTATATAGGTTGAGTATCCCAAATCTGAAATGTTCCAAAGTCCGAAACTTTGTGAGCTCCAACATGACGCTCAAAGGAAGTGCTCATTGAAGCATTTTGGATTTTGGATTTTTGGATTTTGGATACACAATGGTAAGTATGATGCCAGTATTCCAAAATCTGAAGTCATCTGGTCTGAAGACCACAATGTCTGAAACATTGCTGATCCCACACATTTTGAATGAGAGGTACTCGGCCTGTATGCCCAGGAGTGAGATTGCTGGATCGTATGGTAGTTCTATGTTTAATTTTTTGAGGAATCTCCATACTGTTTTCCATAGTGGCTGCACTATTTTACCACATGGTTTTTTTATCTTTACAGTTTTATCTCAGGGTCTTTTGGATCTCATGGTGCTAAAATGAAGGTGTTGGCAGGGTTGTGTCTTTGTCTGGTGGCCCTAGAGGTGAATGCTTCCTTGCCCTTTCCAGCTTTAGAGGCCATTTGAGTTCCGTGGCACTTGGCCCTTTTCCTCCATGGGTGGAATCCCTCTCATGCTTGGACTCTGTCCTTCTTATTCTTCCTTTTCATCCTTAACCCAGCAACAAAGGCTCTCTGCTTTGAAGGACGCTTCTCACTGGATTGGGCCCACCCGGATAATCTAGGCTAGTCTCCCCATTTCATGGCGGGTAACCCTAATCACCTCAGGACAGTCCCTTTTGCCACCTAAAGTAACGCATTCACAGGTACCGGGGATGTCTTTGAGGGACCTAATCAGAGAAGCTGATGGTAGCTGAGTTTCAGGCTCTGAAAAGCCCTCCCTCTACCCCTCCCCTTACCAGCATTTTCCTGAGGCCCCGGGACCCTAAGGGTTGGCTGGACACTCCCCTCACTGTGTGGGCTGGGCTGGTCCCCTGGCGGGAGCCTGACACCTGAGTTTAGTGTGTGCCCAGGATCTGTGACCCTTTTCTCCCTCTCGAAATGTCAGAGCCTGGCTTCTTTGGCCACTAGGCGTGTTGGTCACAGAGTGAAGATAACTGTGTCCTGCTTTACAAAGCGCGTTCCTGTTCTTTTTACTTTTAGTCCTCATAGTAATCCAAGGTAGGTGGGGTACATCAGGTCTTTGCAGATAGAATGGAGGTTCGGAGAGGTTAAGTTGCCCAGGGGGGTCACACAGCAAGCAGTTGCGTTAGGAACCAGACCTTGGCTCCAGGCTAATGCCTCCTAGGGACTAAGTTAAAATTAACTGAGCACCTGCTGTGTGCTAATACCTGTTGTAGTGCTATATATATATATATATATATATATATATATGTGAGAATACTACATTCTCACAGCTGTGTAATGAGATGGATGCATTTTTCCTCTTTTCACAGGTGAGGAGAAAGGCTCAGAGTGGTCAATCTATATATCCAGGGTCACACAGCTAACAAGAGGTAGAGCTAGAATGGAATCATTGTCACTGGACTCCAAACCCTGTGTACCATCCCAGTGGCCTAGCAGCAGTGTTAGAAGATGATATCAGAGCTGTGTGGGCTGCGGTAAAACTCATGCAGCAGAATTGAGAAGTCCCTTGTGACTGTCCTGTGATGTTTGGGGCCCTTGACGGGGGAGTGTGGGCCGTGAAAAGATGGGGGAGCTGGTTTAGAGTGTGTGAGAGAGAGTAATTGGGGGTGGTAGAAGCCTGCCAAGAATCTAGGGGTAGACATTGTGAAAGCCAATGTCAGTGAGGCTCAGGCCCAGTGTCTTGGAGCTGCAGAGCTTCCCTTTACCTCCCACTGCAAAATGAGGGAAGGGTTTAGAGAAGTTTCTGCTTCCTTCCGGCAGAGCTGCTGCAAGGGTTGTCTTGTAGATAGTAACTACCACAGGACTTGGGGTGTGGCACATCCCTGTGGGCCCAGGAGATCTGGGAGAAGCTGGGTTGGACTTTGCAGTAACTGGAGTGACCTGACAGCTAAGAGGGGTGGGATTGACAGGGAAGCCTCAGCCACCCTGGGACTTGTGCCCAATTGACATCAGCTCACTACCATTGTTTTGCTGGTCCCTCCTAGGCGGGCCCTGGCAGAAGCTCCCTCTGCTCAGGTGGTGTAACTGGCGGTGGCTTCCCCTTGCGGAAGTGGGTAAACAAAGACAGAGACCTGTGTCTCCTCCCCGCCCCTGCCACCTGCACTTATAAACACAACCCACTGTTTCCCTTTTTGGGAGTGTGTGAGAGAGAGAGAGAGTGTGTGTGTGTGTGTGTGTGTGTGCACGCGCGCACATGCGCGTGCATCCTTAGGTTCCGTCTAAATCCGTTCAAGCTGCTGTAATAAAATATCATAGACCGGGTGGCTTATAAACAACAGAAGTACATTGCTCACAGTTCTGGAGGCTGGAAGTTGAAGATGAAGGTGCCAGCAGACTCAGTGTCTGGTGAGGGCCCACTTTCTGGTTCACAAATAGGATAGCACCTTCTCCCTGTGTCCCCACATGGTGGAAAGGGTTGGGCCCTCTGGGATCTCTTTTATAAGGCCATGAATCCCATTCATGAGGACTCCAACCTCATAACCTTCCAGAGGCCCCGCCTCCAAATGTCATCACACTGGGAGTTGGGATTTCAATAAATGAATTTTGGGGAGACAGAAGTATTCAAACTATAGCAGGTCCTGGCCACACTTTGGAGTCAGGACTTGGGTGGGGGGCTTTTTCTGTCACTGCCACTGTGTCTGTTGCAAGAACCTCAGCGTCCTCCAGGACCTGAGTGCCCATCACGTGCTGGCCTGCGAGGCAGCCAGATATTAGCACTGTGTCTCTGTCACTTTCTTCCTCTGCTGCCCACTTTCCACTCCTCAGAAATTCTGAATTGGACTCAGCATTTGACTGAGCATTGGCTCTTATGTGAGCCTGTTTGGTGTGGGCAGGCCTCAGAGGTGACTCTGCCCACAAAGAGGAGTGGCCTGGCTTCCAGGGAAGCCTGCCATGGAGGAGCGTGACGGAGAGATCTGCGTGTGACGCTGTGTGCTCTCGGTCTGCGTTGTATGGAAAGTGAGTTCCTCCTCACTTGCCCCCATCCCCCTTCTCAGCACCTGGTCTGGAGAGGCAGGCAGGAGGAGAGAAGATGGCCCCATCCATGCCACACCTCAGTGAAAATTCTGAGGACAGGCTCTGGTGCCCGCAGGGTTGGAGCTTCATGCAGGCTGAGGCCCTGCCTCTGCGGGTCCCTCTCCCAGGCAGGTTTACTCTCCGAGGGTCTTTCATATCTCCCTGCCCGGTGGCCTCCCTCCACCATCAGTCTTGCCTTCGCTGTCCCCTCTACTCTTGGAGTGGAGCAGGCCCCCATACACCCAGGCACGTGGAGGGGATGGAAAGAAAACAGCGCCAATTTCCTGTTGGTGCTTTCTCTATTGGGAGGCTGGAAAATCCAACACAGCCATGCCAGTGTGCTCCCCACTCCCATCCTCCACCTGTCACACTGCCCTGACCCTCCCCAGTTCCGTGTTTCTCTCCTACCCCCCTCCTTCCCCCTTCAGTCCCCACAGTTCTCATCCTGGGCATTATCAAATAGCCCAGGGTCCTCTCTTTCTTATTTTGTTTTGGAGAAACAGGATGTCATGATATGTTACATGATATAATGGGAACAAACTTGGTATTAAACTGTTAATATCCCCATTTTACAGATGGGGAAAACTGAGGTGCAGAAAGGTCTCGTAAACTGTCAAGATCGCGTTGCTGGTGGGGAGCAGGACTAGGATGTGAACCTGGGTAGTCTGGCTTCAGAGTCTGTGTTCTTCTCACCATCCTCCATTGCCTTTAATGAAGTACTTTAATGAAGTACCTTTAATGAAGTATGTAATGAAGTTTCATACAGTGAAACCGGACTTAGAAGCCAGGTATCCTGATTCTGAATTCCATGCTATTTCATCATACCAGTGTTTCTAAAGCTCTGTTCTTAAAATACTAGTCCCTGGGGCCAGTGGGCTCTGTGAGGAAGTATAGTGTAGTGGTAAAGTCTGGGCTTTGGAAGCAGACTGCCTGGCTCAGCCATTCAATAGCTATAACCTTGAGCAAGTTACACAGCCTCTCTGTCCCTCAGTCTTCATTTCTGATATGAGAAGGATAATTTTAGTATTTGCCTCATAGGGTTGTTATAAAGTTCAGTTCCGTGTGAAGCACTTAACAGTGCCTGGCACATAGTAAGCATTTAATAAATGGTAACTACTATTATGGCCTAATTAGTTTGGGAAATTTGAGGATAGAGTTAAGCAGGCACTTTTGTTACAGGATTTATCAGAGCTTTTATTACGCTGTTGCAAATTGGCAGTTTCCTGGAAAGGGGATGTGTAGTTATAGTACATAACTATATGTAGTAAGCATTTTCTAAACTTTTCGGGCAACTAATCTCTTGCTCTTGTCTGCCTGTCTCGCTCCTTAAACTGCGTGCCTTCTAACTTCACAACTTGTAAGATATGAAGCTGGTGTCAGGGAACACATTCCGGGCAGCACTGAGCTGCCCATCACTCTATCTGCTTCTAAGTGAGGCTGAGCTAGGCCTGGGCATCCCGGTTAGATCTGAGCAAGACTTCTGGGGGCAGTAGATGGTAGGTGTTCAGAAGCAAACAGACTTATAGTGAAAATGAACAAGCTGTCCATCAGTTGACTGTCATGCACCAGGTGGGTTCTGCTCTACAGAAGGCCAAAATGCATATTGTGGGAGTGTGATGTCCTTGCTGAGATCCTTGGATTTATAAGTGTTTATTATGCTGTTCCTTGCCCTGCAGGCCAAATACATCCTATTTGATACTTAAATAATCTCAGGAGCCAATGAAGGAAGAGGTTATAAAGGAGAAAATTGACTAACTGGCAAAGCAGAGGCCAGTCCCCAGAACTCCATCCATTCTTCCACTCAAGCTGCATTTATGAGGTGCACATTCAGCCAGATGCTGGGGTAACAGTGGTAAACAAGGCTGTGGGACTGCATTTTTGACTCTGGAAAACATTTGCAGATGGTTGGCAGCATCACCACTAGGTAGAGCTCAGTGGTCCTGGAAGAGTCCTGG
The DNA here is from genome assembly GCF_000001405.40 of Homo sapiens. Classification (NCBI taxonomy): domain Eukaryota; kingdom Metazoa; phylum Chordata; class Mammalia; order Primates; family Hominidae; genus Homo; species Homo sapiens. The sequence continues at coordinate 80,184,758 of NC_000010.11, read as the reverse complement.
GGAGGTTGGTTTTCTGGCCCTCTTGTATTGACAAGTGCCCCCTCAAGCATTCCAAGCTCATACTCTTCCTAAGGTGAATCAGCACCTGAGTCTTTTGCTGATGTAGAAGCCTGATCTCAACTTAGAGTCCCAGCTGTATTATAGTTATATAAACACACTGTCTGTCTGTCTGTCTCTCTCTCTCGTATTAGTTATATAAACACACTCTCTGTCTCTCTCTCACACACACACACGGTCCCTGACTCAAGATGGTTGAACTTACAGTTTTTCAACTTTATGATGGGGTTACATCACTTTCAGAAGGGATGTAACCAGCTCCTCCACTTTTGATGGGGTTACAATGAGGCTACGGTTTTTATTGAGTGCATGTCACTCTTGCACCATCATAAAGTTGAAAAATCATAAGTCGAACCATCATAAGTTGGGGACTGCTGTGTTGCCAGCATTAAATGCATTTTCAACTCATGATGGCTTTATTTGGATGTAACCCTATCATAAGTCAAGGAGCATCTGTATGTATTTATATTTAAAGTTCCTAACATTTAGAGATATGAACAGTTACAGATGAAATAATATATGATGTCTGGGATTTGCTTCAAAACAATACAGGGGTGTGGGTGGGGTTCGGGATGAATCAAGATGGGCCTTGAGGTGATAATTGTTGAAGCTGAGGGATGATGGTTTATTAAACTGTTCTGTTTTATATATGTGCTCCATAACAAAACTTTGTGAAAAAAGTCGACCATTATTAATCACCGCCTCTGTGATTAATGGATTAATTAGGATTGTGGCTCACTCCATGGAATTCCACAGCCACAGTTAGGTACATGGTCCCCTGGGGCCAGCTCCTGCCACTGAAGGGGTGTGTGGGGCAGAGCTTGGGCTCTATCTGCCTTCCCTCGTCTTCATAGTTATGGGGGAACTGTGAGCTGATGCACTGAGGGTTTCTGGAACCTTCTGGCTGTGAGGAGTGGCCTTGGCAGACCCTTGTTTAAAGCATGCTTATTGCACTGTCTCCTTTTGCCCTTGGAGGAGGGGTCTTCAAGTAGGTTGCCAAGGGCAGGGCCCACTGGGACCACCAGTGAAGCCAGCTCAGCTTGGACAGAAGTGGCACACGTTTTGCAATGCAGCACTGTGAGGGGATGTCAGGTTTTGTCGTCAGCTGCCTGCAGGCCAAGCTCTACCATGGACCCTCTCCGCCACACCCGTGTGATGTGAGCAAGCCATGTCCCTGGTGTATTTTAGCTGCAAAGCTGAGGAAGTTAGAACATGATCCCTTCCAATGTGGACATTTTGTGAGTCTGTAAGTCTAGGATTTGGGGTGAAAGCTGAAAGAGGCCCCCTTCAGAAATCCTGAGATCCCAGAGGAAGGAAGGACCTCAAAAAGGGTTGCCCCTGGTTTTGCCCATGGGTCAAGTGAGGTCTGGGAGAGGAGGCCTGGCCTCAGGTTGCTGGCTGAGATCCTTTTCTGGCTGAGATCCTTGGAACAGGACTACCGTAGTAGACGTTTCTGCCTCGTCTTAGACCTTCCATCTTGAGTTCTGGGCTCCAGGCCCTTGTCTGCACCTTGCTCTAGCCTGGTGCCTCCCTCTCTCCTGCCCAGTGACCTGGGACGAGTGCCTAGCCACTCACAGGGCACTGTGTGGAGGTCGTGAGCCACTCACATCAGCTCAGGGCTAAGTAAGTCTTCATTTCCCCAGCCCATGCCAGGAGGGGCACCAGGTCGGAATGTGAACTAAGAAGGAAAACTCCAAGCAAAACTCTCAACACTTCACCCTGCGACCAGATGTGTGTTTTTTTTCCCCACACTGACCAATTCTCTGACTCTAACTGGGTGTCCTATAATGCAGCTCAATTCTGACCCTAACTGGAGTCACTGCAGACCCTATAGGTTAAAGGGCTCAGTCCCACAAGACTGCCAGATATATATTTCTTATATCACATTATCACCTGAGACATTACTTAACCAGAGCCGAGCCTTCTCCCGGAGTGAAGAGAGTTTGCAGATGCGTCAGTTTCTTTCCTCTTTTAAAAAAATTATGTACATATATGGGGAATGGGAGGCCAAGGGAGGGAGAGCATTAGGACAAATACCTAATGCATGCGGGGTTCAAAACCTAGGTAACAGGTTGATAGGTGCAGCAAACCACCATGGCACATGTATAACTATGTAACAAACCTGCATGTTCTGCACATGTATCCCAGAACTTAAAGCCAAAACAAAATGTACATATATCTGAGCATGTATAAACACATATGCATATACATTTATATATTTATGTAAATATATATACATGTATTATACATTTCTGTGTGTTTTAAACTGTACGTTGAAAACTGCTTGGTGGTGACCTTTGTGTACAAGGATAGAGGGAAGAATGCTTGCTTTTCATTTTGTGTGTTTCTATTCTGTTTGAATTTCCCTACAGTGTGCTTGTATTCCTTTTATTTGTTAAATAAAATTTATTTTTTAGAGTGGTTATAGATTTACAGCAAAATTAAGTGGAAACCACAGAGTTTCCCTGTCCCCCTGCCCCCACACTTGCACCCCCCGCCATTAGCACTCCCACCACAGTGGTATATTGTTACAATCAGGGAAGCAACATCGATCCACCTATTCATTCTTTCCTCCCCTGACCTCTGGCAACTACTCATCTTTTTGCTGTCACCATAGTTGCTTTCTCCAGAATATCGTAGAGTTAGAATTATACAGTGTGTAACCTTGGGTGCTTCCAAATTGTTGGCCATTATGAATAACACTACTGTGAATGTCCATGAGCAGGTTTTGTGTGCGGCAGAAGTTTTCAACTTATTTGGGTAAATACCAAGAGCATGATTGCTGGATCATTGGTAAAACTATGTTTAGTTTTGTAAGAAACCACCAAACTGTCTTCCAAAGTGCCTATACCGCTTTACATCCCCACCAGCGATGAATGAAAGTTCCCGTTGCTCTGTATCCTCACCAGCATTTGGTGTTATCAGTGTTTTGGATTTTGGCCATTCTAATAGGTGTATAGTAGTATCTTATTGTTTTCATTTGCAATTTATTAATGACATGTTGAGCGTCTTTTCATATGCTTATTTGCCACCTTATATCCTCTTTGGTGAAGTGTCTGTTCAGGTCTTTTGCCTATTTTTTAAATCGTAAGGTTTTCTTGTTGAGATTTAAGAGTTCTTTGTATATTTTGGATAATAGTCCCTTTATCAGATATGTCTTTTGCATTTATTTTCTCCCATTCTATGGCTTGTTTTTCCTTCCTTTCATTTTATTTTATTTATTTATTTTTTATTTTTTTGAGACAGGGTTTCACTTCCATCGCCCAGGCTGGAGTGCAATGGCGTGATCTGGGCTCACTGCAACCTCCACCTCCCAGGCTCAAATGATTCTCCTGCCTCAGCCTCCTGAGTAGAGTAGCTGGGACCACAGTCGCATGCCATGGTGCTCGGCTAATTTTTTTGTATTTTATTTTTGTAACGACAGGGTCTCATTATGTTGCCCAGGCTGGTGTCAAACTTCTGAGCTCAAATGATCTGCCTGCGTCAGCCTCCCAAAGTGCTGGGATTATAGGCATGGGCCACTGTGCCTGGCCTCATCTTGTCATTTTAAAGAATATATCAGCAGGGATTATTGGACCTGCCTGGTTTAAACTATTGTCTTAGTTAATTTTGTGCTGCTCTAACAAAATATCACAGACTGAGTAATTTATAAGCAATAGTAGCTTATTTGGCTCACAGTTCTGGAGGCTGAGAAGATCGTGAGGCTGCATCTGGCAAGGGCCTTCTTGCTGCTTCATAACATGGCAGAAGACATCATGCGGGTAAGAGAGAGCATGTTATACTTTTGTAACAAACACACTGGTGGTAAGGAGCCCACTTCCTCCATAACACATTAATCCATTCGTGAGGGTAGAGCCTCTTAAAAGTACCGCCTCTCAGAACTGTTGTATTGACCATTAAGTTTGCAGCACATGAACTTTGGGGGATACATTTAAACAATAGCAATGATATATTTAAATTTTATGGATACAACCTTATGGGGAAAGTATTTTAAAAAATAAATTGTGTGTGTGTGTGTAAAAACAGGTTAAGGATCTAATGTTAAAAAAAAAAAAAACTAATATACAAATCAATATTCCAGCCACCAGACTGGGGAAGGCCAGTGGAAAATCACTCCATGAAAGCATCCACTGTAGTCCCGGTCTGCTTGGTTTGCTGTTAGGCCCTGAGGGGCAGGGGGTGTCACTGCTGTGTGGCTTCTGGCCCGAGATGATGTTTCTAGGCCCTTGCCTCTCAGCATTAACCTGGTGTAGGCTCTGTTCCCAAATGAGCCCTGTGTTGTCTTTCTGGGGAGGACAGTCCAGAGTCCCAGGCATGGCACTGACACCATCCACCCCTCCTTTCCCTTCTGTATCCCTGAAGTCAGGCAGGACACCAGCAAATGTGCATGGCCTAGCCTTGCTGGTGGCTGGAGCCCATATCTCCACCTCCAATTGTTGGGTAGAGACACAGCAAGGCTTCCCTTTTGGTAGGGGGATGACTGAGTCGGGGCAGTGAGGCTCTTCTTGCTCTGGCAGTTGCCTCCTGTCCCAGTGTAGCATTTCTAGATTCCTGTGTTAGGGGACTCCAGCTAGTACCCTTTTAGAGCCTGTGGAGTTGAATGGTACACTTACGTACACGTAACATGGCTTTAGGGAACAGGCCATTTTGCAGCCACTGAGAAGCACCCCCAGATAGCTGCTCTATGCTTTTGGCATTCACCAGACGCTTTGAGGCTGGCTTCTGATGCAGTGCTGTCATGCCAGACTCCTGTCAACTTTAATAGGGATGGCACCATGTTTGAGAGGCCGAAGAAGAGACCCAGAGCCAACGAACAAGGCATAGGGCTTATTGAGGGGACTTACATATGGGGCGGTCCAGTGGCAGCAGGCTGGATGGAAGGACCACTACTATTTGTAAAAAGCATGCAGTTTGTATAGCATTTTAATTTAGCATCCTCCTTCCTAACCACCTCCACCTGGCAACCTTCATTTAACGCAGAACAAAGGGCCTTGATCTCCTGTATGGCCATGGAATGGCTTAGGGGTTCTGATGTTCCTTATAGATAAGGAATGGATCTCCAGGTTGGCCACAGTTCCTCAGCTCAGAACTCTGAACACACATTCTTCTTAGACTATAGGGTCGTTCTGGGTATGCTTAAGTGATTGCTGTCAGGTGCATCTGTCATACAACTGTGGGGGTGCCTAGGTCTAGTCTGTGTCCCTAGAGCTTACTATTGTGAAGAAGAGTATATTCGTCCATTCTCACACGACTATAAAGAAATATCTGAAACTGGGTAATTTATAAAGAAAAGAGGTTTAATTGGCTCACAGTTCTGCAGGCTGGGCCTATGCCAGGTTGAAGGGCCCAGAATATGGGAGCCAAGGTACCAGCATTTTTAGCCAGCTCTCCAAGTGAGGGAAAGCATGATGCTGGCATCTGCTTGGGGAGGCCTCAGGAAACTTACAATCATGTGGCAGGCAGATCTTAACCTGGCTGGAGCAGGAGGAAGAGAGGTGTGGGGAGGAGGCGCTACACGCTTTTAAACAACCAGATCTCACCAGAACCCTATCATGAGAACAGCACCAAAGGGGGAAATCTGCCCCCATGATCCAGTCAGCTCCCACCTGGCCCCACCTCCAATGCTGGGAATTACAATTCGATTGTATTGTAATTAGAAATTACAATTTGGGCAGGGACACAAATCCAAACCATGTCAAAGAGTGAGATCAGATGAGCTAGAGAGTGTCCAATACCTTAAGGGAAAGAGTGTTTCCTAGAGTGTGGACCACAGAACCAGTTACATCAGAATTACTGGGGACTGGGGGGTATGTATGCTTGTTTACACTTCAGATTCCTGGGCCTATCCCAGGTTAGAAGGCCCAGAATATGGGGGCTAGGGCGCTAGCATGTTTAGTGAGCTCTCCAGGTGATTATCATGCATGATGAAGCAGTGTGGCCTGCAGGCAGGCAGCATCAGCATCACCTGGGAGCCACTGGAAATGCAACTTTTTGGGCCCTGCCCCAGAGACACTGATTCAAAGACTCTGGAGGTGGGGCCCAGCAATCTGTGTTTTAACAAGCCCTATAGGGGACTGTTTTCCAGAAGCACCGATTTAACTGGAGAGGGCCCCAGCTGGATGAAATCAGGTGCACAGCTGCAGGTGGATGGTCGCAGTGAGGAAGGAAGGGCGGTATTTGTGCTGCAGCCTGCCCTGAGAGGCAGGACCAGAGGCCAGAAGGTCCCCAGAGACAGGTTTCTAAGAATTGGACCCATCCTTAAGGAGGCCAGCTGCCTGCTGTGTGCAGGAGGCCCTCTCCAGTGAGTCCCCATGTCAGAGGGCCGTGATTAGAAGCAGGCGTAGAGCGGGGGACATGCCCCAGCCATCAGAATTGCACCAGCAGTGTGAAGCATGTCTCTTGCCCCATGCAAGGAAAGGAGGAGAGAGGCATTGGTCAGGGTGAAAGGTATGATTCTCATGGATGCCAGAGAGAGAGAGAGAGAGAGAGAGCAGATCTTCTGGATTATAGCTCACTGTGTTGCCTCTCTCCTGGGGAGTGGGTGCTGGACAGGCTAGGGAGGGGGACCCGAGGGCCTTAGAAGTCTTGCCGAGCCCAGATATGGCAGCCCTGGGGTGCCAGGAACGACTTCTCCAAGGACAGCCCCTTGCGGTAGCCTCTTTTGAAAAAATGCAGAGGTCACAGTTACCAGAAGACTGGACCATGAGCAGATTTCTTAATTTTCAAAGAAAAGGAGGAGAAGAATGCTGCTTCTGTGAGTCAGAGAGCAGTGTGCTAATCCTGCAGCCTCTAGCCTCCTAGAACATGGATAGCTTGGGGGGAGATTGGTCAGCGCTGGGAGCCTGTGTCCACCTGAAGGTCACCCCTGGCTATTGGGCTGCGTTTACTTTTCTCCTGGGGGTAATTAGGCAGATAAACAGGCTCTCTTCAGAGTAAATGTGCTAGAACCCTCACTTGGGCATGTGGAGAAATGTGTACTGGGTGGTGGCAGAGTGAGTTGGGGGAGAGCTGGTTAAATGCCTGCACCCACATGATGCCTAGTGTTTGATGTTGAACTGGGGAGTTCTGAGTATGACAGTTCTGTAGTGTCCCTCGTTGTCCCTTTCGTCTTGGTTACTTGGCAGAACACAAATGCCATGCTTATTGCATCCATGGATGTAAAACAAAGCTGAGAGAGAGGGGGAAGATGTTTGATGTTGAGCAGAATCCCAGAAGGTCTCAGGAGACTGGAGCAATGGGCAGAACCCAGGGGAGAAATTTCACAGGAGCCCACATAAGGTCTCCGTGGCCTGAAAACCCACTTGTACCAGTCCGGGGAGGTAGGGAGTAGCATCCACTGGAGGGAGATGAAGGTCCCGCCCTGCACTCTTCAGACCATACCTGGGGCGTTTGGTCCTGAAAAGAACTAAAAGATAAGAGTGGGGTCAGGCCAGGCATGTAATCCCAGAACTTTGGGAGGCTGAGGCGGGCGGATCATCTGAGGTTGGGAGTTCGAGACCAGCCTGGCCAACATAGTGAAACTCTGTCTCTACTAAAAATACAAAAATCAGCCTGGTGTGGTGGCAGGTGCCTCAGGTGCCTGTAGTCCCAGCTACTTGGGAGGCTAGGGCAGGAGAATTGCTTGCACCGAGGAGGTGGAGGTTGCAGTGAGCTGAGATTGCGCCACTGCACTGCAGCCTGGGTGACACAGTGAGACTCCGTCTCAAAAAAAAAAAAAAAAGTGGGGAGCAGGCTTGAAACTATTTCAGGCAGAGAATGACAGAGGGAAAAATGAGGCTATTCTTTCTAAGAACGGAGGACTAGAGGTATATCTTGGGGAGAGGGGAAGACCCAGGGTCGCAGGACCACAGCTCACAGTGGGGTCGACCTGCCCTGTGGGGCCATGCAGGGCAGAGCTCCTAGCCAGGAGGCAGATTTTGACTCCTGCTGGGAACTCCCTTAAAAGCCACCCCAAGAATGAGCTCCACGAGCGCCATCAAGGCTGGCCTGCAGGCCCTCCAGGGTTACCAAGGCTGCCTGGAACTGAATGGACCCTGTGTGTGTTCTTTTAGTCTTGGAAGACCAGCCAGGACTTTGGGGGCCAGACGGCTAGCCTCAAGTGAGCTCAGAAATCTGCACCTGAATTGGGCCTTTTTAAAAGTTGTTTAATGGCCAATACATACATGCAGCAGAAATGCACAGGGAACAGATCTAAACCGGAAGCCTCATTTTCTAGCCCCACCTTTCCTCTCGAGAGGCAGCTAGTGTTAGCTAGTTTCTTGTGTGTCATTCCAAGGATGTCCGTGCACGTCTACACTCAGGAACCACTTAGTTTGTATGTTTCTGGGTTTTTTATTAGCTTAGTACATACACAGTACTGCACCTTGATTAATAATGGTGGTCATTGCATCTTTCCATATACAGAGCTGGCTAAATCCAGAAATAGCTACAGAGTATCCATTGTTGGATCTGTTGTGGTTTATTTAACCAGCCTCATTGGTGGAGGTTTAGGAGTTGTTGCAGATAAGGCTGTAGTAAAATTCATGTCTGTATGACATTTCACACAGGTGTGTGTCTGGGGAAGAGACTTACAGAAGTGGAGTTGCTGAGTCAAAGGTATGTCATTTTAAGTTTTGATATCTTTGTATTTTATTTATTTATTTATTTTGGAGACGGAGTCTCGCTCTGTCACCCAGGCTGGAGTGCAGTGGCATAATCTTGGCTCACTGCAACTTCCGCCTCCCAGGTTCCAGCCATTCTCCTGCCTCAGCCTCCCGAGTAGCTGGTATTACAGGCACCCACCACCACGCCTGGCTAATTTTTGTATTTTTAGTAGAGACAGTGTTTCACCATGGCCAGGCTGGTCTCGAACTCCTGACCTCAGGTGATCTGCCCACCTCGGCCTCCCAAAGTGCTGGGATTACAGGCATGAGCCACTGCGCCCAGCCGACATCTGTGTATTTTTAATTGGTGATTTCCTCAGCACATTGGTGAAGGTGAGCATCTTCAGCTCCTTTTCTGTAACTGCCAGATCTGTTCACATCATTTGACAGTTTCTCTAGTGGTTATTGATCTTTTTCTTATTATATTAATAAAACTTTTTTCCTAAGTTTTTTTCTCATCTTTATTTTTTTTTAATTTGTCTCTTATGCTGAAATTTTATTTATGTCGTTGGTTTTTGGGGCTACTTCTTTCACTGCATTATTTGGCCTGGCTGGAATTTACTTGGTATAAGGAACAGGGTGGTATCCAGCTTCTGTTTCTTGGGTTTTTTCCCTGGCCTGGCTGTGGATGGAGCTTTTGGCTTCATTTCTCTGAGAGGAGGCCAGGAGTGGAGAGTGTCTTTGGTGCTCAAAGGTCCTGCCTAGTGGTGTCTCCAGAGAGGAAGGTGACAGAGACACCATCCCGGCTCTTCCTGCTCACCTGTCGGGCAGTTCCTTCTATTAGAAGGTTCCTGGCCTACTGGTCATTTACATCCCCCAGATTACCTCCTCACCAGTGAAGTCTGAGGGTTTGGCAGAGTCTGGGCAGAAGGGTCAGGCTGGGGCCGGGACGGGGAGGGCTTTGTACTGACAGCCCACCCAGCCTCAGGGACACCCTCTCTGAAGGTGATGCCACCGGGGACCTCATCCACCACGTGCTTAGGGGCTCAGAGAGACCGAAAACTGCAAGGAGTAGGTCCTTGGTCCACACTACAGGGAGCCAATTCCAGCTTTCTCCAAAGCCATAGGGCTTTGCCTACGGTCACCTCTGGACCCACTGACCCAAACAAATGACTACACCCGTAGGGCTGAAAACCAGGCCCACCCTATGGGGACCGGTGGTACCTTAAGGAAGTTCTTTAGCTTCCTTAAAAACAGCATGTAGGCTGGGCACAGTGGCTCATGCCTGTAATCCCAGCACTGTGGGAGGCCGCAGCGGGCAGATCACTTGAGGCCAGGAGTTCAGACCAGCCTGGCCAACATGGCGAAACTCCATCTCTACTAAAAATACAAAAATTAGCCAGGGATGGTTGCGCCCTCCTGTTGGAGGCTGAGGCACAAGAATCCCTTGATCCCAGGAGGCGGAGGTTACAGTGAGCTGAGCTCGCACCACTGCACTCCAGCCTGGGTGATAGAGTGAGACGCTGTTTAAAAAATAAAAGTAGGCCAGGCATGGTGGCTCATGCCTGTAATCTTAACACTTTGGGAAGCCGAGGCAGGCAGATCACCTGAGGTCAGGAGTTCGAGACCAGCCTGGCCAACATGGTGAAACCCTGTCTCTGCTAAAAATACAAAAATTAGCCAGACATGATGGCGGGCGCCTGTAATCCTAGCTACTTGGGAGGCTGAGGCAGGAGAATCACTTGAACCCAGGAGGCAGAGGTTGCAGTGAGCCGAGATCACACCATTGCACTCCAGCCTGGGTTACAGAGTGAGACCCTGTCTCAAAAAAATAAAAATAAATAATAAAAAAACTTAAAAAGAACAGCATATACCAGCCTCGGCAACATAGTAAGACTCTCAAAAAAAAAAATTAGCTGTGTGTGGTGGCACATGTCTTTAGGAGGCTGAGGCGGGAGGATTACCTGAGCCCAGGAGGTCCAGGCTGCAGTGAGCCATGATTGTGCCAGTGCACTCCAGTCTGGGTGACAGAGCGAGACCCTGTCTCAAACAAACAAAACCCAATATGCCCAGTTCTTCAAGATAGATATGAAGGGCAGCTAGACTCTTATAGTTGGATAGCGTGGCTAGAACAGTGGTCTTCAAAGTGAGTTCCCTGGACCAGTAACATCATCTGGAAACTTGTTCCAAATGCAAAAACTGGTTCCACTGTCTCAGAAACTCTTGGTGGTGGAGCCCAGCAATGTGTTTTAACAATCCCATCAGGTGATTCTGATATGCATTGCAGCGTGAAACCCAGTGTGTAAAAAGAAGCCACATACTCGAGACGAGCAGGTGTGATTGTTGAGGGACCCTGCAGGTTTCCTCACATGTCCGCCTGCCATTGGGTGTCTCTGCAGACTGCAGCAGCAGCTGCTATTAGCAAGAGCAGGCAGGTTGCACAATGTGGCTGGTGTCACAGCAGATCTGTGTCCCTCCTCACAATTTAACTGGCAGGGGACATTGCCAAGGGATCCGTGTTCAGAGGGACTTCGTGAGAGCAGGTGTCTCACCTGGCACCTGTCCAGGCTGCTCTTCCTCCCTTACTGACAGATCTGCAAATCACTTACTTCTCTTAATCAGCAGCCTCTACTGCAGAAACAGGGTGATGCTGCCTCATTTGCCCTGGTTCTTCACCCTGCATCAGATGAACCTCCTGAGGGCCCTTTTTGCTTCTAGGAACGATGATTCCATACCTTACCAGGTCCCCTTGCCTGATGAACCAGAGGTTGGAGAATGAAGAGAGACAGGGGCCTCTGACTTCCCCTGTTGCTGGAGGGATGGCAATAAGGACACAGGAAGATAAATAGACAGACCTGGAGTCCTGAGAATGAGGCAGTGCGTCTCTACCTCTGAGGTGGGAGAACAGGCCCAGAGGCGCACTGCACCCTTGCCAGCAGAGGCAGGAGCAAAGCTTCAGTGAGAGGGCCTTTCAAGGAAACTGGCTCATGGGGAGTGAATCCTGTCACTGTGGGTGGGGCCGGGGGTGTGGCCCTGGCCCAGAAGTCAGGCAGCATGCTGGTGGGTACTGTTTCTAGCTGGAGGCACCAGCAGGAGACAGTGAACTGGTCTGCGACAAGCAGGGCAGATGCAGCAGTTTCTTCTGCAGGGTCCCAGTTGTGGTGGTGGCTGCCCTTTCAAGAAGCTGGGTCCCACGGGCCAGCAGGGGCTCTCAGGCAGAGCCTGAATGTGCTTTCGTCTTCTCTTCCAGATCTAACCATGAGCTACCCTGGCTATCCCCCGCCCCCAGGTGGCTACCCACCAGCTGCACCAGGTAAGAGGGTCTGGGGTGGGGAGGAGAGTGAATGCTGCCTCTGTACAGTGGCTGGGAGTGGAGAGGGGAGAACAGTAGTTTCCTCACTCCCCTCCTCCCCTCACAGCACGGCCCAGCAGGGGAGGAGAGGACAACAGGAGTAGTGGGACAGCCAGCCGAGGCAGGGGCTGGAGAAGAGCATGACACTAAGGCCATCGGAGGCCTAGGTTTGAAACTGCCTCCAGAAAGCCCTGGACCAGGCCCAGGGCTGGGTCTCTTGCCTTACTCTCTAGTAACAGTGGGCAAATGCTGTCACTTTGAGACTCAGTTTTCTTCTCCGCAAAATTGCTTCAAGGATTTCTCCCTCATTAGGTGGTCCTGGATACTGATGAGATAGGCAGGCAGAGCGACACGGTGTCCTCCAAAGCATTGCTAGGTGATGGTTGCCCCTTACCACCTCTCCTACCCTCTGCTCAAGGTGTGTGGGTTTGCAGCAACAAGATCCCCCTTGCCAAGAGAGGAAGTGGAGGCAGATGCTAAGGGTCAAAGGTCACTCCCTGTTTTCTGCAGGAGCTGTGGGTAGTCACATGGAGAAGTCGTCTTCTCTGGCCCTGGCCCCTTTTGGTCCTCAAATGAGATTTGGTCCCCACTGTGGGAAAGGAAATATGAGGGCTCATGAGACCAAGGGGAGAAAAGGGTCATTCCAAGGCTGGTCATCCTGAGGGTGCCTGAGCCGCTGCCCCTCTCCCCAGGGGACTCCTAGGCATCATTGATTTCTTTGGAGCTGAGGTCCTGTGGTTTGAACACCCCAGACCTGCAGGCCATTTACCTTCCCTCCCATTCAGCAGGTGAAGAACAGACTCAGACCTAGAGGTGGCTCAGCTGCTGTCCCAGGGCATGTTAGGGGCTGAGCTGGGCCACTGCCCTCTGAATGAGCCCACCCCAGGTTGGCTGGCACTGGCCTGGGTTCTCTCTCTATAGTAGAAATCCTGCCATCCAGATCCTGCCACTGCCACCTTTGCTAGCACAGCTGAGCAGCCTCTGAGCAGCAAGAGAGGAGGAGGCAGGAAATTTAGGGAAGGTTCTTCCTGGAGGGTCTGGAGCCCTGGAGATGAAGAGCCGATCCGAAGCTGCCATGTAGAGGAAAGCATCTAACAGGCCAGAGGCCCCATGATGATGTCGAATGCCCATCGGGCACCCAGCTGAGCCCTGCAGGTGTTAACTCAGTCTTCGTCACAGCAGTCTAGGCATACACTCACCATTAGCCCATTTGTAAGCTGAGGAAACAAGCCTAAGGAGGGTGAAAGCCTTGCCCCAGGGCACATACCGGTCCTGCTGGTTTCAGAGCGGGCTTTTCACCTCTGTTTCTTCCTGTCCTCTTGTGGACTGGTATCTGTGTTTACCATGACCCAGCCCCATGTCCCTCCAGCCTCTTATCCTGCTTCTCCCTGCCTTTTACAGACTTGTAATAGCAAACAGCCAAACCCCCTCCCGCCAGTGCCTTCGCATTACTGAAATCTCAGAGCTCCCTATGGTCACCTCTGTCATGGGCTCAGCATGGTGTCCCACAACAGTCTGTCCTTGTCTGTCCTCCTGCTCCATGATGGTGAACTTGGGAGGGCAGAGCCTGCCTGGGCTCTCCCAGCCTCCTTAATACCCCACAGAGGGTCTTGGGAGTGTTTGGGGAACTCCACCTTCCTCCCTGGGAAGAGGGGAAGGTTTCCCCTCCTCTGCCAGTGGGATAGGGGGAGACTTTCCTCCTGGTGTTTTCATGTGGTCTGTGGTGTCCCGAGGCTCGAGGCTCGAGGCTTTACTGGGCCTCCCTTTCTGACCACCTGGGAGCTCTCATCTCTGCCTTTCCCCGTGTGGTGGGGGACTGGCAGGGGGCTAAAGGGCTTGGTGTTGCTTTCAGGTGGTGGTCCCTGGGGAGGTGCTGCCTACCCTCCTCCGCCCAGCATGCCCCCCATCGGGCTGGATAACGTGGCCACCTATGCGGGGCAGTTCAACCAGGACTATCTCTCGGGAATGGTGAGTCCAGCTCTCCTGCTGAGGCAGCCCTGGGGCCACACCTGCGTGGCCAGAGGAATCAAAGCTGCTGGCCTCTGGGGCTCCAGAGTTGTCTATGTGTGTGTTGCTGTGGTGTGTAGTGTGTTGAGCTGTACCTTAGAACAGGGTTTTCATCAGGCTTCTGCCACCTGCTCTCTGCCCCTCTCTGGGTCTCACTTTTCCCATCTGTAAAATGAGGGGAAGGGGACCAGATGATCTCACAGGTCCCTTTCAGCCCTGAGGGGTTAGGGTTGGGAAGGTGGCGAGGGTATCTGCATGAGTGTGCATGCACGTGCTATGTATGAGTATCCACATTCATATACCTGCATGTGCATGTGTGTACATATGGAGGGCTCTTCTGGTTAGGCCTTGGTGGGTGTGTGGCAGGTATCTTGGGCAGACATGCTACTTTTTAAATTTGTTGTTTCACTTTTAAAATAATACATTTTATGATTTGAAAACAAACGTATGCTTAGTTTATGATTTGAAAACAAACGTATGCTTAGAGGAAATTATGCAACCAATACACACCCTAATTTGTGCCAGGCCCAGTTCTAGGCACTGGGGATATGTGAATAAAACAAACAAAAATCTCAGCCGTGCTGCACTTATCATCTATGGGGAAAAGACAGGCAGTACCTTAAGTCAACGATGTGATGTTATTGAAAGTGTAGGTGCCATAGGAACAAGTTGACCAGGGTAAAGGGGTCAGGAGTGGGGGTGGGGTGATGTAAGGATAATGATTTTAAGTTAGCAGTAAGGTGGGTCTGGCTGAAAAGAGGATGTGTGAGCAAAGACCTGCATCAGGGGAAGGAAGTGCTGTATGGATGTCTAGGGAATGCCGGTGCCCTGAGGTGCCAAGGGGTGTGAGGTGCTCAGGGACAGGGAGGAGAGGCCAGTGTGGCTAAAGTGGAAAGGCGAGGGGGTGAGATGGGAAATGAAGTCTGGGGGTCTAGCTCTTGCAGGGTGTAGGAGGCTATCCATCCTAAGGATTTAGGTTTTTATTCCTGGTGAGTGCAGATTCACCTGAACATGCCTGCCAGAGGTGTCTGTGGGTAGCAGGCTGATGTGATGGGGATGCCCCCAACCCTGCATATGGGACCCACGCACCTTCTTGGGCAGTGAGCTCTTAACCTTCACCCAGGTGGTCTGGGATGGGAGGAGCAACCATGTGGAGAGGGAAGGCATCTCCCCTGCAGAAGGGGATGAGGATCTCTGGTTTGGATCGAGTCGCACTGTTCACTGGCTGTGTAACTTTGAGCAAGTAAACTCATTCTGTGGTCTGTGAAATGGGTATAACGGTACTTCATATTCCACAAGCGGAGATGCTGTGAGGACTGACTTGGCTTAGGTATGAAAAAGGGTGGAGGGACGGAGTGCAGCAGGGCCCATTGGCCTCAGGCTCTGCTTTGTGTCCTTGCAGGCGGCCAACATGTCTGGGACATTTGGAGGAGCCAACATGCCCAACCTGTACCCTGGGGCCCCTGGGGCTGGCTACCCACCAGTGCCCCCTGGCGGCTTTGGGCAGCCCCCCTCTGCCCAGCAGCCTGTTCCTCCCTATGGGATGTATCCACCCCCAGGAGGAAACCCACCCTCCAGGATGCCCTCATATCCGCCATACCCAGGGGCCCCTGTGCCGGGCCAGCCCATGCCACCCCCCGGACAGCAGCCCCCAGGGGCCTACCCTGGGCAGCCACCAGTGACCTACCCTGGTCAGCCTCCAGTGCCACTCCCTGGGCAGCAGCAGCCAGTGCCGAGCTACCCAGGATACCCGGGGTCTGGGACTGTCACCCCCGCTGTGCCCCCAACCCAGGTGAGTGTCAGCCCACTGCCTCCCTTGGTCCAGGCCTGGGCCCCAAAGGCTGGAGACACATGGCTCAGTAGATGGGGAGACAGGGAAAGGCGCAGGCCTCCAGCTGCACTTCTTGTTTTAACAAATAGTGTCGGCCGGGTGCAGTGACTCATGCCTGTAATCCCAGCACTTTGGGAAGCTGAGGTGGGCAGATCGCTTGAGCCCAGGAGTTCAAGACCAACCTGGGCGAAATGGTGAAACCCTATCTCTACTAAAAATAGAAAAAAAATTAGCTGGGCATGGTGGTGCATACCTGTAGGCCCAGCTACTCGGGAGGCTGAGGTGGGAGGATCACCTCAGCCCAGGAGACAGAGGTTGCAGTGAGCCGGGATCATGCCGCTGCACTCACTCCAGCCTAGGTGACAGAGTAAGACCCAGTTTTTAAAACAAAAACAAAAACAAAAAAAGACAAACAAAGAGCGTCACCTTCTTGCAGACTCCCCACCTCTGGGTTGTGTTGCTTAAGGCCCAAGGGAGCTGTCCTGTTTCTCCTGGTGTGATGAGACGCTCCACATCCGAGTTGGGTCAGAACACCCCTGGCGAGTACTCCTTATTCCTCTGTGTCATTTACTGCCTGGGCTGTGTGTTTTGTAAGAACTGCCCAGGCCACCTGTCTCAAGGCTTTGTGCTCAACAGCTGTCTTCGGTCCCTTGATATGCACCACCCCCGCCCCCCCCGGCACAGACAGGTTTTGGAGGATTATTAAAATTCCCTTTGGGTAGGGAGAATGTTGGCAGTTCCTCCAGGGTTGATCTTGGCTCATTTTGGAGAACAGTTCGTGTTTGCAGAGCCTAGAATTCGTTGTCATGGTTCTGTGGCCCAACCAGCCAGCACAGGGGTAGTGGTATGTGCTCAATGACTATTTTTAGACAGAGGGTCTCCTTTCCTCCTTCCCTTCCATACCCACACGTTCCCCCACCCTGTGCCATCCTCCAGCCTCCCTCCCTTATCTTTTCCCTGAGCTGCCCTCTTAATTGTGTTATAACCAGTTTGTACCAGCCCCTAGGAAGACAATCCACTGGGAGACAGTTTAGCCTGGAAAGTTCCAGTTTGCGGGTTTGTGCAGCTATCAGGGTCTGGAGGAAGTCCGGCAGATGCTAGTCTAGAGAACAGTGCGAGGGAACCAGTGCTAGATCAAGAGGTCATCAGGCTGCCATGCACAGTTGTGGAGGCTCAATACCTGCATCCACTGGAGGGGACACATGGGCTAGCCAGCCCTGTTAGGAGTACCCATGTGTGCTCACATGTGCTGTGGAGGCCAGGCATCGATGAGAGAGGCCACAGCCCCTGCTCCCGAGACCTGCCCTTCATCAGGAGCCTGAGCCCCAGCCCTGGAGGACCTGGGCACTGGGCAGATTTTCAGCATCAGGACTCAGCTATAGGTGAGCTCCCAGCCACTGGAGCCAGGAAAAAGCTTCAGTACTAGAACACAAGGCCAGATAACAGTCAAGTTAGGTAGACGCGGCGTAAAGTCCTCTGCATTGTTGACTGTGGACTCCTTTAGATACTCCAACTCTTAGAGAAAGGGCTGTTCCCAGAGTCTAGGGGTGGAGCAGCCTTGAATGTGGGGAAGGCGGCATGCACGACATCTTACCTGAGACTGTTTGTCCGAGTAGTTTGGAAGCCGAGGCACCATCACTGATGCTCCCGGCTTTGACCCCCTGCGAGATGCCGAGGTCCTGCGGAAGGCCATGAAAGGCTTCGGTAAGAGACCCTGGGTGGCTCAAATCCTACTCCCTGCCCCCTATTTCCCAGGCAGTTTCACTGTGGCTCTGTGGGCTGGGGTAGCTGGGGGACGCTGACCTGGCCCCAGTGGTGATAGAAGGTGGATGTGGGGGTATGGCTAGCATGCCCAGAACAGTTGAGGGGCCCAGGCCAGGGAAGTCTCAGCTGCAGAGCATCTCATGACCCCTACCCGACCCACCCCTGCTGCCTCTTCCTCCAGGGACGGATGAGCAGGCCATCATTGACTGCCTGGGGAGTCGCTCCAACAAGCAGCGGCAGCAGATCCTACTTTCCTTCAAGACGGCTTACGGCAAGGCGAGCTGCGGGGTGGGGGCGCGGGACAGTGAGGCGTGTCCTGGGCTCAGCACAGCCCTGCTCTCCCCTGCTTTTCCTTGGGTGGGCCCGGATCTCCCGGATGGACAGTAAGGAGCAGGAGGGCATTTCCTTCTGCCCATCCAGCTGGTGGCATCGTTGGGAGGTGAAGGATGCCACCGGGTGCTGAGGTTTGCTGAGAGGCTCCAGACATCTATCCCTGGGTTCTAGCCCTTGCTCTGCCACATCTCACTGAGGTTGTGGCCACATCATTTTCCTTCCCCTGCCCTCTTCATGACCACCCTGGGGGGTTTAGCTGATGTAAGAGCTTTGCAGGGAAAGGCTGTGAGTGCTGCCCAAGTACGAGGGGCGTGTATGAGCATATTTTGAACTTCTGGGGTTTTGAATCTTAGAAAGATAAAAATTCGGTAAATATTGATTAGATTCGTGTTCTAGCCCAGTGCTTCTCAAACTTCATTGTGTCACCGATCCCCTGGGCATCTTGGTAAAATGTGGTCTCTGATTTGGGAGGTTTGGGGCAGGGCTGAGAGCAGGCTTTTCTCTCAGGCCCCTGGGGGATGTCCATGCTGCTGTTCCTCAAATCTGGGATATGGCTCTTATTAGTCACTTCCTGTGGATTTTTTAAATAGACTTGTTTTTTTTTTTGTTGGTTGTTTGTTTGAATATCCAATCAGGATTTGATCAAAGATCTGAAATCTGAACTGTCAGGAAACTTTGAGAAGACAATCTTGGCTCTGATGAAGACCCCAGTCCTCTTTGACATTTATGAGATAAAGGAAGCCATCAAGGTGTGTACGTGTGTGTGTGTGTGTGTGTGTGTGTGTGTGTGCGCGCGTGTGTGCGCACGCGCGCATGCGTGTGGACACACAGCCCAGAAGGAGGCCTGGATGGCGTGCTGTGTTCTAGCCCACTCATTAGCTGCTGTTGTCAGTATGGCTCCCAGGCCTTCCTGGGTTGGAGTCCACATGCTATAGAAAAGGGAACTCCCTGTGATTTCCCCAAGAGGCAAATGACGCACCAGTCATCATCAGGGAGGCTTAAGTCTCTCTCCATCTTAAAGAAAAGGGGGAGCTCGGGTTTGAAGGTTGCGATTCTGTGGTAAGAAGAGGGGTAGGAGGCCATGGTTGGTATCGTTCTCATTCTTTAGGACTCTGTTACTAGCAAATGACAGAAACACACTTCGGTTTAAGAACAACAAAAGTGGAGAATCAGTCATGTGGGTAAAGAGGGCCCAGGCCAGACGTCTCTCTGGTCTCTGTCTCTCCTGAGCGCCCGCTTTTCTGTCAGTTTCTGTGCTTCTCCTACCATGGCTGCTTCATGTGGGGTGGGAGAGGGGGCCTGTCGACCACTCTCCGCATAACTATGAGACCCAGCTCCAGAAGAGACCAGCAGGGTCTCCAAACGGGCAGGTTCTGACGGGCCCGGCTTGGACTCACTGTTCCCTCCAGTCCTGCGGGTTTTGACTGAGGGTTGGGTCCTGTCCATTCTGTGCAGTCCCACAGCTCTGTGTGCACCCTGCAGGCAGGGGCAGGCAGCTCCCTTGGAAAGGGAATCCCATGAGTCAGGCTGGAGCCCAGAAGGAGCCTGTCACTCAGAGGCCTGATAAGCACAGTGAATGTTCCCTCCTTCAGGAGAAGCAGAGACTTCAGTGTGGTGGCCTGGAAAGGAGAGGGGTCTCCGCTGAAACACATCTACATGTGTTATTCTAGGGAGGGGGTCAGGAGGCCATCAGGCAGGGCGATGGCCCGGGGCCCCAGGGAGTGGACCCAGACATCTCCCTGGCCCCCGTCTTCAGCCGGAGTCATGAGCTGGTGGTTGTGGAGTGTTAGAAACCACACAGGTTTGGGGCAGCTGTCACTCACCAGCTGTGTGTCCTTGAGCACCTGTGAAATGGGGACAGTGGATGCTGTCTCAGGACATGCTGGGAATACTGGGTGAGGGGCTAACGTGTAGTAACCCAATAGTAGCTGTAGCAGGAAACAGCTGACACAATGTCGCACGTCCTGCCTGACAGGCCCTAAGTGCTCTACGTACATTAACTCACTTAATCCTCATGACTTTCCTGTGAGGTAGGTCCTAGTATCACTCCCATCTTACAGACAAGGAACTGGAAGCACAGAGAGGTTAAGTAATGTGCCCGAGGTCACACAGCTGGTAAGCTGCAGAGCCAGGATTCAAACCAACATACAAGCCAGGCTGCCCAGCCTGTCCTCTATGGTCTTACTGTCCCTGGCGTGGTTGTCCGATTCATCCTTGTTGTTCCTACCTTTTCCTAGTTGTTTTCAGACATTCCACCATCCCCTCTAGGACCAGGGTTTCGTATGTCCACTTGGATCTCTCTTGCTTTTTACCCATTTTTTTCAGTTGTTGTCATCTCGCTTCCGGCTGAACTCTGAATAAAGCAGGCCTCGGTCCACATTTTAACCCAACCATTTACTGTGTGGCCTCGGACCAGCCAGTACCCCTCTCTGATGCTCAGTTTTCTGATCCATGGGGATGCCCCTTTGTGTGAGCCCTACTCATCACCACTGCCACTGTCATTGTGCTTGCCCGGGCTGTGGAGAAGAGCTGATGCCCTCGAGCCTGGGAGTGGCTGGAGGGTGTGTCTCTGTGTCAGGGGCCTCTGTTGCTGGGATTAAGGCAGCAGCGTAGCCCCCACCCTTCTTCCCGAGTGCTGGTGAGGCTGCTGGAACAAGCACATGGTTGGTTGTATTCTCTGCCCCTGCAGGGGGTTGGCACTGATGAAGCCTGCCTGATTGAGATCCTCGCTTCCCGCAGCAATGAGCACATCCGAGAATTAAACAGAGCCTACAAAGCAGGTGAGGCCGCTCCCTCTGCCCTCTGCCCTCTGCCCTCTGCAGATCCCTGTGCTCTTGGGGCTGTGGCCTCATTCTCTCCTAGGGCCTTTTACTCCTTCCTGGCCTTCTTATCAACCCATCTTCTGCCACCCCCAATACTTTGGGCTTTGACCCAAGACCCAGCCCTTCCTTCTGTTTATACATGGTGCAAATGACTAATGTAAGGGAGAGGCAGGGAAAACCTGGATGTGGTTTGGGCCAAGGCTGACTAGAGGCCAGGTCAGCCTGGAGGTCACAGGCTTGTATATCCCTGGAGGGCCATATGGGCTATTTGTTCTCTTGAGCCCGAGCCAAGACCTCCAGCCTTTTTCTCCCCAGTACCCACTTTTGATAGTGTTTTGCAATGGGCAGCTCCATAAAGAGAGCTACAGGATGGACCTTCCTTGCTTCTCCCTTTCAGAATTCAAAAAGACCCTGGAAGAGGCCATTCGAAGCGACACATCAGGGCACTTCCAGCGGCTCCTCATCTCTCTCTCTCAGGTACTTTTCCCACGACAGGGCTCGGGGCCCCCAAGCCATGGAAGTCAAAGAGATGGGATCCCCGCAATGAGGAAAGGGAAAATAAATGGGGAAGGAGTGGGCATGACCATACACCTGCTTCCTTTCAGGGAAACCGTGATGAAAGCACAAACGTGGACATGTCACTCGCCCAGAGAGATGCCCAGGTGAGTGTGATGGCCAAGCCCCTGGACTTCCTAAAGCAGGGATGCACCCCGCTTTCTTGCTTCCTGAGAGAGGTACCCTAGGGTGGAAAGAACAATAGATAAGCAGTGGGTTGCAGATGCTGTGAGTTTCAGACGCGCTGAACTGTTCAACTGTATGACCTAGAACAGGTAATCTGACCTCCAGGGCTTCAGCTTCCCCACCTATAGGAGGGAACATGTGAGATAATTAGTATTTCGATAGTTGATAGATCATGGTTTTGGACGTGGGATTTTGTGTGACAGCGTACTTTCCCCATGTTTAGTTGCACATAGCATTATGTTTGCAAAGGGGCAAAATTTGCACTTGCTTATTAAGTTTTTGAGGATTTGAGCCTAGAAACCAGCTGCCACATTAGTTGAGCACCCTTAGAATTCTGTCGTTGTCCCTCTTGTGAGTTGCAGACAAAAGGGGAAAAGTCCAAGCAAAGTCCAGGCATCTGAGCTACTCTCTCGAAAAGTTTGGGTTTCCCACTAATGAATTTCAACCGTAGTATTATGGCAGGGCAGAGCCATTACTTCCTGGTGGGGTGGAGTTGGCCATACCTCTCTGTCTCCCTTCACTGCTCTTGTCATCCACGGCAGGGCATTCACCAGGAGCTGCCAGTGGTCTAAATTATCTCTACCATCTGCGGGATTGGAATGAGACCTCAAGGAATGCCCCCTTGTTAGGGCTGGAGGAGAGCTACTCCTCTGGTCTGGTCCTTTTGCTGGTCCTCCTTTTCCGGAGGAGGAAACTGAGGCTCAAAAAGGTTGAGCACTGTTCCCAACTGAAAGCTAGAAGCAGAGCCCGGACAAGGGCCTATACTCCTGGCTCGGTCTTCTGTGCCCAGTCAGCACTTGCCTCTGCCCTGGTCTCAGACCTGCTGCTCCTGCAGGGTCTGCCTTATTCAGTGTCTCTCTGGCTGGTAACATCCATTCCCATTCTGGGAGTCAGGGCTGGACACGCCTGGGGCTCAGGGCTCTGGCTTTTGCTCCAGCGAGAGTTTTGCATGCCACTTTTAGCGGGGCAAAAATTGTCTCATGCTCTGCCTTCTCAGTCCAGAGCTGCTTTGGCCTCATCTTGACCTGTGGGATCTCAGCCCCTGATTGCTGCTTTCTGCTCTTTTTCAGGGCTGCTACCTGAGGCCTAGCAGGCACTTTAGAGGCCATCTAGTTCAGAGGTTGCAAATTGGCAAATACTTTAGGCTCAAACCTTCAGAAGTTTACCAGGCTCTCCTGGGTGACCTGGGCCTGGGGTCTGGGTGTGGCCTGTGCCACATGTGCGTCTTCCTCTCTCTCCAGGAGCTGTATGCGGCCGGGGAGAACCGCCTGGGAACAGACGAGTCCAAGTTCAATGCGGTTCTGTGCTCCCGGAGCCGGGCCCACCTGGTAGCAGGTAAGGCAGGCTGGGGTCCCTCAGAGGCCAGTTAGATGAGGGCAGTCAGGGGATTGTGGGGAAACAAAGCTATGGGAACACTTGGTCGTTCCTCCCTGCGTGGGGCTTTCGCCTCCTCAAAAGAGCCCCCTGGTGGGAATTTAAAAGACACTGTCAGAGGGTTTCCTGAGTTCTGGCAAACATCCAGTTCTGGAGGTTCTACCGGTGTAGAAACCTGGTGTCTTTGTACGTGGGAATGTGGAACGTCAGAGTTGGGAGGGTCCTTCGGGAGCACCCAATCCAGTGTTTTCCAAAGCCTGGCATAAGAAACAGTCATAACAATAAAACTGGGTGCCATTCATTTACTCATTCATTCAACAGATGTAAATCGCGCTCCCGCATGGGTCAGTCTGTCAGGTGGTGGAGCAGGTGTGGGGCCACGGTGGGGGGCAGGGCACTGCAGAGTGTGTTCCATGGGCTGCACTTTCTCATTTGGGGAGACAGACAGTAAACAACAATGAAATAAAATCTGTATCAGATGGGAAATCCTGTAGAGGAAAATCAAGCTGGAAACAGGTAGGGAGTGATGGTAGGGTCCACCGGGAGGTGCTTGGGCCAGTCCCCACTGAGGTCGTGACATTTGATTTAAAAACCTAAAGGGAGATGCAGGGGCAGAGGCCTGCCTGGGGCTCCCAGCACGACTGAGAACAGTGAAGGGGGACCATGTGGAGCAGGTGGAGTGAGCAAGAGGAGTGGGAGGTGAGGGCAGAGAGGGGAGAGGGCCCTGCTGATGACTTCCCGGAGCTGGGTATTTATCCTGAGCAAAAGAGGAAGCCAGTGGAGGGCCCTGAGCAGAGGAGGCTGTGCAGAATCCCTGGCTGTGGTGCCGAGAATGGAGTGAAGGGTGCAAGGCCAAGCAGCGAAGCCTGTCGGGAGGCTGCTGCAGGGACCCGGGGAGGAATGGTGGTAATAGGGGCTTGTGGTGAGGAGGTGTCAGGTTCCGGCCATGTTTGCTGATGAATTGGACACGTGACGTGTGGGAGAGAGAGGGTTCGAGGATTATACAGGGTTTCTTTAGGCCAAGCAGTGGGAGAATGGCCCTCAACTGAGACAGGGGGACTGTAGGTGGAGCTGGCTTTAGGTGCCTGTAGGGTGGAGCTGCAGGGAGGCTGCTGGGTTGCTGAGTGTGGAGGTCAGGAGAGGTCTGGCCTGGTTGTGGAAGGTAAGGGAGCTATGGGTAGTTGAAGTTATCTGAGGCTCTGGGACTGCAGGAGGTCCCCTCAGGAGGGAGACTGTGGGGAGCCCACCGGTGTGAGGAGACTAAGAAGGAGCAGCTAGGGAGGGAGGAGGACGCAGAGGAAGGGGGTCCTGGAGGCCAGTGTGAGGTGGCAGGCAAGGACTGAGGATGGTGACCACACGGAGCAACTGGTGGGCTGTGGCCAGGGCTGCTCCAGTGGGCAGTGAGGGTGAAAACCCAGCGACCGCTCTGTGCTGCACACAGAGACAGGCGCTGTGGCTCTCCCCATTCGCAGCTGTGAAAGCAGGCACAGGGTGGTAGAGGAAGTAGGGGTGCACAGCTAGTAACAGCTGAGCTGGGATTTGAACCCAGACCACCCGACCCCAGAGCACACTTTTTAACCTCTGCACTATCCTGTAATGGAGCCTGAGTGAAAGCATTTTCATCTTAATCATTATTTCTTTTAATGAGTACAGAACATGTAAGTAGTGCATCAAGCCCATGGCTTCACAAACATTATTACTTAGGAGAAAAGAGTAGCTGATTGGAAGAAGATATTAATTGAGACAGATACACACAGAGCAGAAATCACAACTTTAAAATGCAAATGGTAGCTGAGACTCAGGCTGGGGAAGGAGAGTTTTATGTCCTGGGTCAGAACTGGAGTCAGGACCAAGGTCTCCATCATGCCACCTGTCTCTCTAGGAGCCAGCCATCCACTCCTGTGGGTGCTTAGCGTGTCCTAGGTCGAGGTGAGCAGCAAGAAGCCAGGCTGGCTGGGGCAGGCTGGGCCTCAGCTCACAGGCAGGCTGAGGAAGACAGATGGATGCATGAATAAAGCCAAGGAATGGCAGAGACTGGAGGTGTGGAGGATTTGAGAAGAGGGGACACTGTCTTGGAGTACATGGGAGTGGGCCCTGGAGGGGTATTAAGGTGCGATTTGGTTAAGCAGATTGGCAGTCCTGAGAAAGGGACCACACAGGGAGGGACATCAGGTGGTGCATGTAACTTGTGACGAAGACTCTGACTTCCTTGAGCGCTAGCAGGCCTGGGGACGTGCAGGGTGTGGGAGCAGAGTGGCAGGTGGGAGATTTTGGGGCAGAGGCCACCTCATGTGAGTCCTCTGTTAGTCTGCTCATGCTGCCATGACAAAATACCACAGACTGGGTGGCTTAAGCAGCAGATACTCATTTTGTTACAGTTTTGAAGGCCAGATATCCAAGAGTGGGGTGCCGGTTTCTCCCGTGGCCTCTTCGTGACAATCACTGTGCTCACATGGTCTTTCCTCTGCATGTGCACATCCCTGGGATCTCTGTGTGTGTCCTAATCTTCTCTTCTTCTAAGGAGACCAGGCGAATTGGATTAGGGTACACCCTAGCAGCATGTTTTAACTTAATTACCTCTTTAAAGATCTTATCTCCAAACACGGTTATATTCTGAAGTCCTGGGAGTTGGGACTTCCACATATGAACTTTGGGGAGACACATTTCAGTTCATAATATAAGCCTCTGTCATCCCCATAGTTTTCAATGAGTACCAGAGAATGACAGGCCGGGACATTGAGAAGAGCATCTGCCGGGAGATGTCCGGGGACCTGGAGGAGGGCATGCTGGCCGTGGGTAAGTGTCTCAGGTTTGCCGCCCACCTGCCAGGGGCTAACGTGTATCGTGAGTGTTCAGGCTGCTCGCCTGTCCTCCAGCTGATGGGTGACACCGTGAAGGGACCACAGGATCCAAGATCGCTCAGCCCAGAGTGTCCAGATGCTGGGAAGTCATGCTGCTTCCCGGTTCCCTGTGCAGTTGAACCCCTAGCTGTCCTGGAGGTGTCTTGTGTGTGTTTGCGGTGCAGCTCTGGAGTAGGGAACTGCAGTGTGGGTATTAGTGGGAGGGCATCCAACTGCGCTCCCGGAGGAGTATGACTCATATCCTGCCACGTTTCCTCTAAAAATACATCCCTGCAGGCAGTTGTCAGATGTTTGTGATGGAAACACGTGGAAAGATTTTTACTTGCAGCAGCGAAACAGGCCCATGCTGAGGAAAGCTGGCTTGGCTCCAGGATGGTGGTGTGCCTCTTACATTGCCCATGTCCTCTAGCAGGGCCCTCCCACTGTGCAGAGTTGGGTCCCTGCCCTGAGGCCCTCACAACCCCTCTTTCTACTCACTTGGGAAAATCAGTCTGCCCCTTTTTTCATTATGCTTTTTTTGGAGCTTTCTGGATGGGAGAGATGGAAAATCCTCATTTCCCTGCCTGTCCCCCATAGTAGGTCTCATGGCCTGGGAAGCCTAGGGAGATGCACATTCCACTCAGCCACGGTTTCTCCATGACGGTCATGGCCTCTCCAGTCTGCCCCTCCTGCCTGAGCAGCAGCACAGTTCCTCATCACCATCCACATTGCTTCCCTGTGTAGCTCCTAGCCCCACTAAGACCCCCGCCCCTCTGACTCTTGGTCCTTTCACCGCAGTGGTTGCCAGGAAAGAGGGTGGGTTGGTTTCCAGGCTTTGCGTGTTTCTGTTCCAAATAGCTGGAGCCAAGATCATGGGATAGTTGAGCCTGGAACAGAAGGAGGAGGAGAAAAGATGGATGCAGTGATGGGTTTGACATCTGGGCCTCTAAGAGGACACTTGTAGACTCCATGCCCTGCTTGGGCTGAGAATTTTCTGCAGATCTGGTTATGCCGAGTTTCTCTCTTCTAGTGAAATGTCTCAAGAATACCCCAGCCTTCTTTGCGGAGAGGCTCAACAAGGCCATGAGGGTATGTAACTTCCATGTGCAGGTTGCGATGGAACCTTAGCCTCGCCTGTGCCTGGGACCAAGGGCTGAGGGCAGAAGGCCTGGGGAGAGCTAAATCTCAGCTGAGAGTTCCGAGGACCTGGGTAGGGAGGGGACTGGAGGGCCCAGGGCAGGTGGGAAGGTGAGGAGGCCTGGTGCTCATGCTCTTGGGTGGACTCTCTTTAGGGGGCAGGAACAAAGGACCGGACCCTGATTCGCATCATGGTGTCTCGCAGCGAGACCGACCTCCTGGACATCAGATCAGAGTATAAGCGGATGTACGGCAAGTCGCTGTACCACGACATCTCGGTACGGGCCTGCTGCAGGCCAACTGGGCTCCCTTTTGGCATCTCAGTCACCTGTGGAACCTCCCTCCTTGGAGTGGCCATATGCTTGGCCTCTGTGCTGTGTGTGGGCATCTTGATTATGGACCTCGGACTTGTTCATCCCCTTGCCCTTAAACAGATTATAAATTTCTGAGGGCAGGTGGATCATGACCTTGCTGTCGCCCCCACCTTGCATCCCCCAGCAGCATCAGAGAACACTCGGGACCTCCCCAACCTTGACCGTGACCTTCAGCGTTCCGATCACCGTGTGATTCCTTGATCTGTCAGTGAGAACTCATGTCCCAAAGGCTCTGTGGAGCTCTGCTGTCACTCCCTGACAAAGCACTTCCTGCACTCAGCTTTATGGCGTAGGCCACATAGTAAGGCCGTTCAGAGCGAGGGCCCTGGGGGTCACGCCACTTGGAGTCCAGCTTTTCTACTTGCTAACTGTGTGACCTTGAATGGCTCCCTTAAATCTCCCTGAACCCCAGCTCCATTGTCTTTAAGATGAGAAAATAATCGTTCCTTCCTGGGAATGTTGTGAGTATTGAGTGAGGCAGTGCAGGTCAAGTGTCTATTAAACACTAGCCACAGTTGTATCGCTGTGTGGCAGAGCCAGTCTGACAAAATACATTCTCAGCTGTGTGGTCTAACGCTCAAATTCTGAACTCACATGAGCCTTGCAATTGCACCATGGGGACCACGTCCTCCCACCTTAGACTCAGTAGCATTTGATGATGGTGGGCATGTCATCACAGGAAACTCACTGTGTTTCCTTGGCTGTATGAATGAAGCTGTTGTTAGAGAATTAGTGATTCTAGGCTGGGCACAGTGGCTCACGCCTGTAATCCCAGCACTTTGGGAGGCTGAGGCAGGTGGATCATTTGAGGTCAGGAGTTCGAGACCAGCCTGGCCAACAAGGTAAAACCCTGTCTCTACTAAAAATACAAAATTAGCTGGGCTTGCCTGTAATCCCAGCTAATTAGGTAGGCTGCGGCAGGAGAATTGCTTGAACCCGGGAGACAGAGGTTGCAGTGAGCTGGGATCACGCCATTCCACTTCAGTCTTGGTGACAGAGTGAGACTTCGTCTCAAAAAAAAAAAGAGAGTTAATAATTCATTACAGAGTATCTCCTGCATGCCAGCAAGCTATGGACATCTGGAAGAAGCCACATGCCTTGCCCTCAAGTTGCTTAGGGTGGAAGGAAATGATTAGAAATGAGCCAAGCCGAGCCTGCACTCTTAGAGTAAGTGTAGTGGCCTCAGACAGAGGAGAGATCCCTGGGACCTGGGCAGTCTGAGCCTTCCACTGGACAGTCATGTGTGAGGAGATTGCATTTCCTGAGCAGGACACTGTGTTGCGTTACATTGGTAACCCCAATTTAAGGCAGCATAAATGCACTGGGAAAACAGCAATATTGGTTAGCCCTGGGAAGTGGTTTTTAGGATGATTATAATTTTTTTTTGTGGGTATTCATTTGATGTGGATAGCTGGGGTGAGTGCTGCTTTCCGTCTTCTGATGGGGGCCTGGAGAAGGCTGAACTGCATTTTTTAAGGTCTGTGACGCCTGCTGCAGGACCTGCAGTGGGAGAAAATTCCCCAGGGTGGGGCTTTCTCCCTATAAGGGTGCTCAGGGCTGAATATCAGGACCCAGAAGGCTGAAAGTGACTGTCCCTCCCTTAACGGATGTCTTCCTTGTTTCTGTGGCCAGGGAGATACTTCAGGGGATTACCGGAAGATTCTGCTGAAGATCTGTGGTGGCAATGACTGAACAGTGACTGGTGGCTCACTTCTGCCCACCTGCCGGCAACACCAGTGCCAGGAAAAGGCCAAAAGAATGTCTGTTTCTAACAAATCCACAAATAGCCCCGAGATTCACCGTCCTAGAGCTTAGGCCTGTCTTCCACCCCTCCTGACCCGTATAGTGTGCCACAGGACCTGGGTCGGTCTAGAACTCTCTCAGGATGCCTTTTCTACCCCATCCCTCACAGCCTCTTGCTGCTAAAATAGATGTTTCATTTTTCTGACTCATGCAATCATTCCCCTTTGCCTGTGGCTAAGACTTGGCTTCATTTCGTCATGTAATTGTATATTTTTATTTGGAGGCATATTTTCTTTTCTTACAGTCATTGCCAGACAGAGGCATACAAGTCTGTTTGCTGCATACACATTTCTGGTGAGGGCGACTGGGTGGGTGAAGCACCGTGTCCTCGCTGAGGAGAGAAAGGGAGGCGTGCCTGAGAAGGTAGCCTGTGCATCTGGTGAGTGTGTCACGAGCTTTGTTACTGCCAAACTCACTCCTTTTTAGAAAAAACAAAAAAAAAGGGCCAGAAAGTCATTCCTTCCATCTTCCTTGCAGAAACCACGAGAACAAAGCCAGTTCCCTGTCAGTGACAGGGCTTCTTGTAATTTGTGGTATGTGCCTTAAACCTGAATGTCTGTAGCCAAAACTTGTTTCCACATTAAGAGTCAGCCAGCTCTGGAATGGTCTGGAAATGTCTTCCTGGTACCAACTTGTTTTCTTCTGCTTGATTCTGCCCTGTGGCTCAGAGGTCTGGCCTTATCAGCCAGTGAAAGTTCATGTAACCTTACGTAGAGATTTGTGTGCAGGAAACCCTGAGCATACACTAGTTTGCAGGGACTCGTAAGGACATGGGAAGGGAGGTTCCCGAAATCCAGGCAGGAGGCCCAGACACCTGAAAGGCAAAGGGATCTTGGTTGGTTGCAGGTGCAGTGAAGTCCACTGAAGGTGTGGTGCGAAGAATGCAGTCCTTCACCCAGGTCCCAGGAGGGAAGAAGGGTGTGTGCTAATTCCTGGTGCCCCTCGGCGGGGGCCAGAGAGAAGGATGGGGACAACCCAGAGAGTCACAAGACCAGTGCCTCCCCTCAGGGTGCCTCCAGGCTGAAAGGGGCTCCTGGCTCTGGTCTCTGGGGACCCTGTGCCCGTTGGTTGGTGGTGTGAGGGAAGAGAATCCATAAGAGAGTTTCTGAGAATTATGGTGTCATGTCCAGAAGCTAGAGCTTACCTTGCATCAGGGGTCTCCACCCACTCCTTTTCCAACCTCCTGCGTTGAGGTTTAGAAAAGAGAGAATCGACTAGGCACTATGGCTCACGCCTGTAATCCAAGGACTTTGGGAAGCTGAGGTGAGAGGATCACTTGAGCTCAGGAGTTCAAGACTAGCCTAGCCAACAGCGAGACCCCTGTCTCTACTAAAAAATTTGGCCAGGCGTGGTGGCTCACGGCTGTAATCCCAGCACTTTGGGAGGTGAGGCGGGCAGATCACCTGAGGTCAGGAGTTCGAGACCCAGCCTGGCCAACATGGTGAAACCCCATCTCTACTAAAAATACAAAAATTAGCCAGGCATGGTGGCACATTCCTGTAATCCCAGCTACACAGGATGCTGAGGCAGGAGAATCACTTGAACCCAGGAGGCAGAGGTTGTAGTGAGCTGAGATCACACCATTGCACTTCAACCTGGGTGGACAGAGTGAGACTCTGTCTCAAAAAAAAAAAAAAATTTACCTGGCATTGTAGTGCATTCCCTATAGTCGGCTACTCTGGAGGCTGAGGCAGGAAGATCCTTAGAGCCCAAGAAATTGAGGCCGTAGTAAGCTGTGATTACACCACTGCACTCCAGCCTGGACAACAGAGCGAGACCTTGTCTCAAATGAGAAAAAAACAAAAAGAAATGGGAGAATCCAGAGAGACTAGGCTAGATCAAGCCTGCTGGGTCCTGGCAGGAGCCCCAGGGAGTAGCTCATCTGCAGACATTTGCTTGAGGACTACCCCCTAAACATAAAGGAAGAATGACATCCGAAGGGTGTGGAGCAGCCATGAGCTGAGAACTAGCCTGGTCTACCTGAGATTGATGGCAGGTCCTGGTCAACACGTCAGCTCTGCGTCAGAGTCCATGCCTCAAGCCCAAGCTGAAGCCCCATCCCTGCTGCTCTCCCAAGAACTCCTCTGCTAGGGCAGGCCCCTTGCCCTTGGGTGCCAGGTGGGACCTGCCTGATGGGATGGGGTGCTTGGCATATACAACTTGCCATGAACTCAAGGTGACCCTGGGGGCCTCCTGAATTGTGATGGGGCCTAGAACCAATGTGCTCTGATGTGACCATATTCTGTGACATTACCTTGCCCTGTTTACTCCAAAGTTCCCAGCCTGGTGCCCAGCAGGCAATATTGCACCTACAGACACATTTACTTTGGTTTCCAAAGTGTTTTTAGACATTTGAATTTGTTGCCAACATTTAAACATTGAGAGATTTCATATTTTTAAAAATCTGGAATTCTGGCTTCTCTTGAAAACTCAGAAATTCTGGCACTATGGGGCTTGCATTCCTGCATGGCTGGAGCTGAGTTGCAGCTGCCCCTTTAGGCCTGTACTCCTTATTTGCTATAGGCTCCGTCTTGTATTACACTAAGCCCATGTCACCCATTTGGCTCCTGCAGGCCTTTGGGTTTGAGACCCTGGTCTACACACTTGGAGACCACCTGTTGTAAAGTACATGGATGTGCTTTGGTCAAGGAATAGACCAAGGTGGATATCCAGGCCAGAGTGACTCAGCGAGTTTAGGTCACAGGCGTATACTCCACTTGTTATATAACCTGCTTGTGTAAGTTCATACTTGGCTCAAAGCCACTATTGTTTGGAAAAGGTATAACTGCCCTGCTGACGCTGTACAGATGTTCTTGGGCTCGGATGGGCATGGCTCCACGTGGTGTGCACTAGCACCCAGAGAGAGTGAAGCTATTGACCCCTGTAAGGGAGAGTGACCATCTGGCAGATAGATAGAGGGGAGCCAGGACATGGCTCAGCTTGTGCCCAGAGGGAGAGTTAAGCCGCTGACCCTGTAGCCAGGGAGTGCACCTGCAAGCATGGGGGTGGCAGGAGCCACAGAGCTGGCTGCTGAGAGGAGCTGCAGATCTGGAGAAGACAGCCTAGGTAAAGGTGGACAGTGTGAGAGCTGCTGATGAGATAGCTGCTGAATAAAACTACATTTTACCTGCCTATGGCCCGCCAGGTTTTCTTTCAGCTATCGCCCATCCACCCAGTCCCCTCGAACCTCAGCATGGGCTGGAACCTGACCCTGGGCATGACATTTGGCATAGTTGTGGACCTGACACCTGTGTTTGTCCTAGTCCTGTTTCTCCCTGCCTTCCTGTTCCTCTCGCTGCCCTCATGGTCACTCCCAAGAGATCCAACCCATGTTAAGTATGGGCTGGAGGACTGCATGAATGCCTCATGATCTTCCCAGAGGCAAAGGCACCTACTGCCTTCCAAGGTCAGTGGGAGGTTGGGATCAACACTGTTTATTATGCTTAGGACAAAAAAGATAGGGAGAAAGATGTGCAACCTTACAGGTCATCTTTCTGGGATAGAACACAATGGGTCTTCTCCTGCCTCCTGGATATGTTAGTCAAGGCCAGTCCATGCTACACATCTAGTCTGACTTCTAAAATAGAAGCACCAGATGAATTCAGCCCTGAGAGAATTTTCAGCAGCTGTGGGGGCGCTGGAGGAAACACTATTAAATAGTTTTGCACCTGAGACAGATAGCCTCACTCGCCTCACCCTAGTCCTGGTGGCATTTGTCTCAGGTGCAAAATTTAAGAAAGAAACCTTGGAGTGCTCACCCTGTGGCTGGGTAGATGGTCCTAAAGTGGTGGTTTTCAAGCCTGAGTGTGTATCAGGATCATCAGGGGAGCTTGCTAAAGAGCAGTTCCTGCGGTCAGACCCTCATGCATTTTGAGCAGGTGTGGGGACTGGGAAACTGCATCTGTAACCTGCTGTAATCTAACGCTTATCTAAATACTACTGTGCTCACACAGAGAACACCGCAAAAGTAGAGGTGTTCCTCCAGAGGGCAGGTGAGCAGATGGCACAGTCTGCTTGGAATTCAGTCAGGTGATGAGAGATGAGATGAGGCACTCCTAGCTTTGGGAAGAGGGAGCTGAAAGATGAACCTTTGCAGGTGCCCACGGTCAAAGTGGTGGTTTAATGCCATGCCATGCCCATTTTCTGTTGGCCTTGGCAGGGAGTTACAGCCCTACCTTAGGACCTGGCTCCTTATTTCTGCTGTAGGCTCTTTCCTGCCCTGGCCGAGATGGAGTGGAATGAGACCTAGAAACATCAAGCTAAATACATGTCCTCAGAAAGATAAAGGTTTACATTTTCACCCCCATCAAATCTGAAAGCTCTCTGCCTGTGTTTTTCTAAGGGATAGGGACATCATTACTCAGTCCACAACCTGGACTCATGTAGGGTCCCCTGTCAGTAAAGGAGTCAGTCAAGCCCACCAGGTATACCAAGGACTCTTACCCTCAGCCCCTACTCCTTGGAAAGCTGCCCCTTGGCCTAATATTGGTGTTTAGCTTGAGCCTGACTCCTTCTCAACACTAAGAGCTGATGAAGTCCTGAAGCAGAAAGAGCTCTGACCTGAGAGTCAAACATCCTTATTCTGATCTCAGCTCAGCCCCTGATTTGTTGTGTGACCCTGGATATGTCACTTCCTGTCTTTTTGACTTTTTAAAATGAAGGGTAGACTAGAGGAGAGCTTCTAAAACTTTAATGTGGTCAACGAAATGGAATAGGAAATTCCACAAGTCTGTCCTTCCACAAAAGCAGCAAATAAGGTGGCAAAAACTCAAATTTATGGGAACTCTGGAAACGAATTGAAAGTTTACAGCAATCAGGTGAATACCTAAGAATAAAAGCTGGATTTAGTAAGAGAGCTTTGTTGTGTTTTAGCTTACCCTGGCCCCATCCCCCACTCCCCAGCATGGCAGCAGCATCAAAAACAATATCCCTCATTCCCTGTATAGGTTCCTGTCACTGGAGGTAGCAGATTAGACCTTATTTTCAAGAAGTATGTTGATTTTGATTTGATTTGTTGCTCCCTGAAGGACTGGTTCAAATGCCTTTCTTTTATTTTGCCTAATTTGGAGCTCTCCTAAAGTGAAGATGGCAGCCTGGAAAGACGTTTCAAGGTCAGTGTATTAGTGGCTCATGCCTAGGGGAAGGAATAACATTTGGAGCAAACAGGAGACAAATTGAAAAGCTTCAGGAGGAAAGGCTAGGAAATAAGATTCTTTGGGTGAGAATAAGGACTTTAAAGAGATTCCACATATTCCTGGGAATCTGAAAGACCATACACATGCCTAGGGCTGGGCATGTGCTTAAAAAGACTTGAGAGGGCCCTATGCTGTCACCTCTGCCTGACCTTCAGGCTCCGTGCAAGCAGGAAGTGAAGGCTAAGGCATAGTTATAAACTGCATGGGTGAAGGTTGAAAGGTGTGTCCCAACACAGAACACATCTGCAAATGCTACGAGGCATTTTGTTGTTCCAAGTGTTCAAAGAAATCTTTTGAATCACTAGCTGACCACTAAGCTAACCAAAGACTTAGTGGCCACACCTGACAAAGAATACAAACTAAAAAACTAAAAATGTAGTTCAAGAAAATAACAGGCTGGGCACAGTGGCTCACATCGGTAATCCCAGCACTTTGGGAGGCTGAGGCAGGTGGATCACTTGAACCCAGGACTTTGAGACCAGCCTGGGCAACATGGCAAAACCCCATCTCTGCAAAAAATACTAAAAATTTGCAGGGCCTGGTGGCACACACTTATAGTCCCAGCTGCCCAGGAGGCTGAGGTGGGAGGATCACCTGACCCTGGGAGGTCCAGGCTGTAGTGAGCCATAATCCTGCCATTGCACTCCAGCCTAGGTGACACAGTGGAGGAATAATTTTATTTCCAAACTTGCCACATTATAAATAATATTCAGAATGTTCAGTTTTCAACAAAAACTATGAGGTATGCGAAGAAACAAAGTATGGCTCATACATAGAAAAAAAATCTGTTAATAGAAACTGAGGAAAGCTCAGACATTGGACTTAACAGACAAGACTTTAAGTCAATTATTTTCAGAAAGGTCAAAGAACTAAAGGAAACCAGGAGAATGATGTCTCACCAATATTGGTAAAGAGACTGGAATTATAAAAAGGAACCAAATAGAAGTTCTGGAATTGAGAAGTACACAAATAAAAAATTCATTGGAAGGGTTCCAGAGCAGACTTAAAAAGGAAGAAGACAAAAATCAGCAAACTTCAAGATAGGTCAATTGAGATTACCCATTCTGAGGTGCAGAAAGAAAACAACAACAACAAAAAAGCTAACTGAGCCTAAGACACCTGCAGGACACCATCAAGTGTACCAACATACACCTAATAAGAATCAAGAGAAGAGTGAATGTAGAAGAAATTTTTAAAGAAACAATGGCTGAAAACATAATGAAAGACATTAATCTACACATACAAAAAGCTCAATGAATTGTAAGTAGGGTCAACTCAAAGAGACACTCAGTGTGACATTGAAACACATTATAATCATACTGTCCAAAAGCAAAGCAAATCCTGAAAGCAGAAAGAGCCACTGGACACGTACAAGAAATCTTCGATAAGATTAATAGCCAATTTCTCATCCAACATCATGGAAGTGAGAAGGCAATGAGATGACATATTCAGTGTGCTGAAAGGAAAATCTTGGGTGGTCTTGATACTTGTAGATGTTCATCTGTGTCTGAGCATTGAAGAGTTAGGTATTTATCATAGTCTTCACAGTCTGTGCTTGTTTGTACCTATCCTTCTTGGGAAGGCTTTCCAGATATTTGAATGGCTTGGGTGTTGTGCTCTAAGCTGTATCTGCTTAAGGATTCACCCCAAGCCCAATAACACTTTGGTTTTTTTTTAGCCTCATAGAGTTACTGCCTTGATGGTCTTGGACAAGATTCAGGATTCTCTGTATTACCATACAGAGACTCTTGTTCATTCCGTTACTGTCTCCCAAACAAAGGGAGTCCCTTTCTCTGTTCTAAGCCACCTGAAGCTGGGGGTGAAAGGACACAAGCACCCCTGTGGCCACCACCACTAGGACTGCACTGGGTCAGACCTGAAAGCCAGCACAGCACTGGCTCTCACCCAAGGCCTGCAGTTACCACTCCCTGGCTACTGCCTGTGTCTGCTCAAGGCCCTGGGGCTCTACAATCGGCTGGTGGCAGAGCCAGCCAGGCTTGTGTCCTTCCCTTCAGAACAGCAAGGTCCTCCAGGCCCCAGCTGGGCCCAAAGGTGCCATCTGGGAGCCAGCAACTAGGGTAAAAAATCTTAGAAGTCTACCTGGTGTTCTGTTATACTGCAGGTGAGCTGGCACTGAATCCACAAGATGCAGTCCTTCCCTCTCTTGCTTCCGCTTTCCCAAGGCAGAGGTGCCTCACTCCATGGCCACCGCCACCACAGGCCCACAGGGAGTACTGCCAGACTACTGCTGATGTTCTCTTAAGGCCCAGGGAGTCTTCAACCAGCTGGTGGTGAATGCTGCCTGGCATGGGACCCCCCCCTCCAGGGCAGTGGGCGCCCCTCTGGCCCAGGGTAGGTCCATAAATGCCATCTAAGAGACAAGTCCTGGAATTGGCATTCCCAAGAACCATTTGGTGCTTTACTGTCCTGTGGTTGAGCTGGTATCTAAGGTGTAAGACAAAGCCCACTTTACTTTTCCCTCCACTTTTCTCTAGCAGGAATCTTGCCTTGTAACCACCACAGCTGGGAATGTGCTGGCTGAATCTGAACCTGAAACCGACAAGACCGAGTCTCACCCAAGGCCCTCAGCATAGTACCCAGGTATCTCTGCTGGTTATTCAGGGACCAAGGGCTCTTCAGTTAACAGGCAATGAATGCAGCCAAGACTGGGTCCTTTCCTTCAAGGCAGTGGGTTCCCTTCCAGCCCAGGGTGTGTCTAGAATTGTGGCCCAGGAACGAAAATCCTGAACAACATGCTGGCAGACTAAATCCAGCAGCATATTAAAAGCATTATACACCATGACCAAGTGAAATTTATCCCAGGACTGCAAAGGTCATTTAATATATGAAAATCAGGCCAAGCACAGTGGCTCACTCATGCCTGTAATCCCAGCACTTTGGGAGGCCAAGGCGGGTGGATCACCTGAGGTCAGAAGTTCAAGACCAGCCTGGCCAACATGGCGAAACCCTGTCTCTACTAAAAATACAAAAATTAGCCGGGTATGGTGGTGGGTGCCTGTAATCCCAGCTACTCGGGAGGCTAAGGCAGGAGAATTGCTTAAACCTGGGAGGCAGAGGTTGCAGTGAGCTGAGATCGTGCCACTGCACTCCAGCCTGAGCAACAGAGTGAGACTCTGTCTTAAAAAAAAAAAAAAAAAAATCGATGTAATGCATGTAATTAATAAAATGAAAGGGGAAAATCACATGATCATCTCAATTGATGCAGAAAAAGCATTTGAAAAAACCCAACATCCTTTCATGATTAAAAAAACACTCAACTAAGACTAGAAGGAAAATGTCTCAACCTGCTAGAGGGCATCTATGAATAAGCCACAGCTAATATTGCAGGTGGGAATGTAAAATAGTACAGCTGCAATACAAAAGAGTTTGGTGGTTCTTCAAAAAGTTAAACGTAAGAGTTACCATGTGACTCAGCAATTTCATTCCTACATATAGACCCAAAACAAATTAAAAAACAAATATTCACACAAAAACTCATACGGATGTTCATAGCAACATTATTCATGATAGCTAAAAAATGCAAACAACCCAAATGTCCCTCAATTGTCGAATAAATGAATAAAATGTGGGCCAGGTGTGGTGGCTCACACCTGTAATCCCAGCACTTTGGGAGGCTGAGGCGGGTGGATCAAGAAGTCAGAAGTTCAAGACCAGCCTGACCAACATGGTGAAACCCTGTCTCTACTGAAAATACAAAAATTAGCCAGGCGTGGTGGTGTGCACCTGTAATTCCAGCTACCCAGGAAGCTGAGGCAGGAGAATTGCCTGAACCCGGGAGGCAGAGGTTGCAGTGAGCTGAGATCATGCCACTGCACTACAGCATGGGTGACAGAGCGAGACTCTGTCTAAAAAAATAAAAGAATAAAATGTGGTATATTCATACAATGAAACATTATTCATCCGTAAGAAGGAATTAAGTACCGATACATGCTACAATACAGATGGCCCTTGAAAACATTATGCTCAGAGAAAGAAGCCAGATACAGCTAGACTACGTATTGTGTGATTCTACCTACAGTACTACCCCCTTACCTTCAGGGGATAAATTTCAATACCCCTAGCAGATGCCTGAAACCACAATAGTATCTAATCCTATTATACTATGTTTTTTCCTATGCATGCATACCTATGAAGTTTAATTTATAAATTAGGCACCATAAGAAATTAGCAACGATAGCTAAGAATAAAATAGAACAATTAGAACAATATGCCAGCTTCTGTGAAGGGAGAGTTGTGTGAAAAACAACAACCATATGCCAGCAGCACTGCTCTTGCACTTTGGGTCTTGATTAAGAGAAAGAAGTGTTGCTGGAACACAAGCACTGTGATACTGTGGCCATTGATCTGGTAACTGAGAAGGCTGCTAAGTGACTAACAGGCAGGAAGTGTAGACGGCGTGGACCATGCTGGACAAAGGGAGCATTCACATCCGGGGCGGGATGAAGTGGGATGGCAAGAGATTTCATCACGCCACTTAGAATGATGTGCAATTGAAAACTCATATATTGTTTATTTCTGGAGTTTAATATTTTAGGACTGTGGTTGACTGCAGGTAACTGAAACCATGGAAGGTGAAACCACAGATAAAGCCGGACTACTGTATTTAAAATGTCCAGAATAGGCAAGTTCGTGAAGACAGAGATCAGTGGTTTCCAGTGGGGTGTGGGGAGCGGGAATGGGATGTGACTGCTTAATAGATACACAGTTTCTTTCTAGAGAGAGAACAATGTTCTGGAACTGGTGGTGATGACTGCACAACTTCTGAATGTACTGGAAGCCACTGCATTTGTACAATTTTTTTTCTTTTTCTTTTTTTTTTTTTTGAGACAAGGTCTCACTGTCTCCCAGGCTGGAGTGCAGTGGCATGATCATGGCTCACCACAGCCTTGACCTCCAGGGCTCAGGTGATCCTCCCACCTCAGCCTCCTGAGTAGCTGGGACTACAGGCACGTGCCACTATGCCCGGCTAATTTTTGTATTTTTTTGTAGGGATGGGGTTTCACCATGTTGCCCAGGCTGGTCTCAAACTTCTGGGCTCAAGTGATCCTCCTACCTTGGCCTCCCAAAGGGCTAGGATTATAGGTGTAAGCCACCGCCCCCAGCCTTGTACAATTTAAAATGGTTAAAATGATGAATTTTACATTGAATTTCACTTCATAGGAAAAATTTTTAAAAACAACAACAAACCACTTTAATGGACACATAAAATCCCTGGGGGTCTCATTGCAATGCAGATTTGGATTAAACAGTCTGGGTGGGTCCTGAGACCCTGATCCCCTTGCTTTTCACCTATGGCCACATTTTGAGAAGCAAGGCCACTCAAAGGGCCCCCATCTGTGTGAATCAACCCCTGCTCCATCTGCCCCTATAAATGACAGGAGTGGGGGTGTCCCCAGGTCTGAGCCTGGAGGGGGTTGCAGGCTTCCTCCAGGCATGGAAGTGGAGTGAGAGGAGGCTGTAGTTAAACGGGTTACTCTGTCAGCAGACACAGAGGAGACCAGAATAGCTTTTATTTCACATGAAGCTAAGGAAGGAAGTCGAGAGGACAGGGCTGGTTCTGTGGGCGCTGCCTGGCAGGTGCACCACCTCCAACTGCTGGGCTCCAGCTCCAGGGCTCAGAAGCCATCTGAAAGAAAGCAGAGGCCCCCAGTGAGCAAGCTGGGGTGCCGCAGAGTACCTGCCCCCGTGGTGCCCAGCAGTTCCTTCCCTTCCCTCCCCGGCCCCCAGGAACTACTGCGCGCGGGACACAAGGATCAAGGAGAGAGCAGAGTGCAACCCCAACCCTGCCTGATCAGTGGGGACGCCCGTCTTCCCTGCGAGAGTTTTGGGGTGGAACAGGAGTGGCTGCTCAGGGGAAAATTAAAGGAGCTGAGAAGCTCCAGTCGTGAGAAGGCTAATGAAGGAGGCAGTTTCTCCGCGCAGGGGTTGTGCTGAGATGGCATCTAGGGCCGGCTCTTCCAGAACCTCATTTGACACTGGGCGGCAGCCACCGGGTGTGGCAGGTGGGGCGGGGCGGGCGGGGAGCAGGGATGATGCCGTCCCGCTTCCGTCCCCAGGGAGCGCTGGGGCCCTCCCTGCCAGCCAGGCTACACCTGTGCAGTGGAGCAGCCGTCCCTGTCTCGCCTGCCCAGCGCCAGATGACAGCCGCCCAGAGGCTGTCCTCTGCCACCTGCACTGCTCACCTCCGAGAAGGTCGGGAGCGGGGCTGAAGGGTCCCGGGGGCAGGTTCCAGGCCAGCTCCTCCAGCAGGCCCAGCAGGCCTTTCACCTCTGTCCCCAGGTGATCCACGGTCTTCTCTACCATCTAGAGTGGGAAGTGGGGTAAAGTCGAGGACAGAAGTGGTTCCACGTTCCGCTTCATCAGCTAGGTCCTAAGAGAGCAGCTGGCGGTCCAGTGCGGTGCAGTGGGAAAGGACTGGGCGCTAAGTGACCTGGGTTTTCCTCACTCAGGCTCTGCCCCTACCTGCCTCAGTTTCCCCAGATGACAATATCCTAGGGGGCTTGCTCTCTAAGGCTCCTTCTTTTTTGGCACTTAGTCACAGATTTGGATGAAGCGCCTGTAGAATACCTTCTCCCTTTTGGACTTTGCAGCCTGGAGCTCACATTCCTTTTGTTGTTCCGCCCCCTGGTGGTATCTCTGCCAAATGACAGGTTTGGGATTCTGAAATTTACTGAGTTCTTAATGGTTTTTCCCTGTGTATGCCATGGACCCCATTGGCAGTGTGGTGAAGCCTACAGACCTCTTCTCAGAATAATGCCTTAAATGCAAAAAATAAAACATATAGAATTACTAAGGGCACCAATTGCATTAAAATATTATTCAAGTATTAGGCCGGGCGTGGTGGCTCACGCCTGTAATCCCAGCACTTTGGGAGGCCAAGGGGGGCAGATCATCGGAGGTCAGGAGTTCAAGATCAGCCTAGCCAACGTGGCGAAACCCTGTCTCTACTAAAAATACAAAAAGAAGCCGGGCATGGTGGTGCGCGTCTGTAGTCTCAGCTACTCGGGAGGCTGAGGCAAGAGAATCACTTGAACCGGGAGGTGGAGGTTGCAGTGAGCCGAGATCACACCATTGCACTCCAGCCTGGGTGACAGAGTGAGACTCTGCCTCAAAAAAAAAAAAAAAAAAAAAAAAAATTCAAGTATTTAAAATTAAACTTTTTGGCCCAGCATGGTGGCTCACGCCTGTAATCCCAGCACTTTGGGAGGTTGAGGCGAGATCACTTGAGGTCAGGAGTTTGAGACTAGCCTGGCCAACATGGTGAAACCCCATCTCTACCAGAGGTACAAAAAATTAGCCGGGCATGGTAAGTACAAAAAATTAGCTGGGCATGGTGGTGCATGCCTGTAGTCCCAGCTACTCGGGAGGTTGAGGCATGAGAATCACTGGAACCTGGGAGGCAGAGGTTGCAGTGAGCCAAGATTGTACCA